>NC_000001.11:118038683-118341713 GCF_000001405.40 Homo sapiens
AGTGTATAATTCCAACTACATGCTATTATGGAGAAAGCAAAAGTATGGACACAGTAAAAAGATCAGTGATTACCAGGGATTAGGAAGGAGGGAGAGATGAATAGACAGAGCACAGATTTTCAGGGCAGTGAAACTACTCTGTATGATAGTATAATGGTAGACACATGCCATTATACATTTGTTCAAACCCTTAGAATGCACAACACCAAGGGTAATGTAAACTTTAGACTCTGGGTGATAATGATATGTTAATGTAGGTTCATCAACTGTAACAAATGTACCGCTCTGGGTGAGGCATGTTAATAGTGGAAGAGGCTGGACATGTGTACGGGAAGAGGGCATTGAGAAATCTCTGTAACTTCTGTTCAATTTCATCATGAACCTAAAACTGCTATAAAAAATAAAGTCTGGTAAAGAAAAAAGATAACGCTTAATATCCATTAGGGTTCAGTTCAGGAAAATAGGCAACTTCATGCACTATTAATAAGAGAGTGTACTGGTAGAAACTTGAGAAAAAGAACATGCAATAAGCCATTCATTTAATGGAGTGGAGTGGACAGAGACAGGAGTATTAGTCAGAAGAAAGAAACCACTAAACAGCAGCTTACCCGTTTCAAGACTTTGTTCCTCATCTCCTTCTTCTTCCTCTTCTAAATAATAATCCCCTTTCTCTTCCTTTTTCACAATTTCCTTAGGGTCATTTAAATGAATCATAAAATTGTGGTTGTCCTTTACCACTCTCACTTTGATAAAAGTTGGGCCTGAGGAGGAACCATAGAATAGAAGATGGGCTGATTAGGATGCCACATTAAGCTCCTCGACAAGATGGTTACACAATGCTGCACAGAAACAAACACACGAACAGAAAACCAAACACTGCATGTTCTCACTTAGGAATGGCAGCTAAACATTGAGCACACATGAACACAAAGAAGAGAACAATAGACACCAGGGCTACTTGAGGGTGGGAGGAGGGTGAGGACCAAAAACTACCTGCCGAGTACTCTGTTTATTACCTAGGTGATAAAATAATATGCATACCAAAGCCCTGCGATACACAATTTACCTATAGAACCAACCTGAATAGATATCCCTGAAACGAAAATAAAAAGGCAGCATAGAATATAAAACCAGGGAGAGGAAATGCTTAGAGATGTCACCTCTATAAAAGAATGCCTAAGGAAATAAAGTAATGGTGGAATTCCAGGCATGAATGGCAGGTAGACCAAGGAGGTATTTGCAGGCCTTCTAGTCACATTTCAAACTCAATTTCAGAAGAGAAAATGAACTGGCTGAGGCAATGTATGCCTATAATCAATGTTATGATTCATCAAATGATATAATTAATGTTAAATGGTTTTGCAACTTATAAAAATTATGTTATAGTAGCTATTATTATTGTGGTCGTTAATAAAAATTTTTCCAACAACGCATTCTCTTTTTTAGTGTTTGGACTCATTTCCCTTCTTTTTGTTTTAAAAAAATTGGCTATTTCCTTTCAATTTGGATTGAGCTATCATCCCTCAAAATTGACAGAACTAGGAGAAAATATTGAATTTACTACGAATCACCTGAAACTTATACGCATTGTATGCATATGCAAATCTTAGTAAGAGCTACAATAGGTGGATATTGGAAGCAGGTCCCAAACTCTGTGCTCCAGAGCTACACCAGAAAAATGCTGTAAACTCACAGAATGCACTTGGCTTCTGGGATAACAAGGTGTGCTGTAATGAATATTATTAATTAATTGCTTATTGCAGTTACTATTACTATTTACCAATTGTATGGAAGTATTTTAATATTTTAACAACTGGAATGGTCATATTAGCATGTACCAGCTAAACCCTTGACTGGCCTATGCCTTGTAGAGTCAATTATAATAGAAGAAAGTGTGAAGTCTGAAAATGCTGACTGTGGCACCTAAATGTATTGTGGGGGACAGAATAACACTCTCGCCTATCAAACTCAGGAGTAGAGGGCCCCTGGTTATCTGAAATGCATTATTATGTTTCCAATCATTAACCAGTTGCTTTCAAAATGTACCTTTTTCAAACATTGTCTTTTCCACTTCAATCTGCCCCCCATCAGAAGGATACAGGTAGTAATTTGACCCTGAGATTTGAGTGGGTATATTTCCCATATTGTATCCGTGAAACTAGAAGAGAAAATATTATGCTTTGAGTGTGAAGCTGCAATAGACAAAAAATCAACTTATCAGTGTTAGCCAACTAAAGTTGCCAGAAGCTTAATTTCTGCTAAGTGATATGTCTGTCACTTTGCAGACTCAGAGGCCAGTGTTCATATTATTTTTAGAAACATCTATGGTGTTATAACAGGCAGAATTAAGATCTATTATGTTAAACTCTGTTCATTGGCACATTCTCATAACCTAGTGAAAACTGAATCATCATACTGTTGTCAAGGCAGTTCAAGAAGAAATCAAGTTCCCATTCACTGGTTGTTAATTTTCTGTTTAAAGTGAACTGATGCTGTGGAGAGTGGACACTCCACTTTAGGAGGTCATATGTAGAAGACATTTTTTACTGAGTGTTGCTAACAGAGGTCCAGGGGATTTAATGCATGCTAAAACTTGAGAACAACTGTTTTAGAGGAGTAGCTACAAAGCACAGGGGATGTTAGATTTCTTTCCATTTTTTTTTCCCATCAGGTTTCCCTCATAACAGCTAGCTGAGAGAGAACTGGCAAAGGGAAGGTTTTACAAAAGCATACAAGCCAGAAACATGATTGCCCACAGAGACAACAAAATGTAGTCAGCAAGTCTCATCATCTGAGACAGATAAAGCCAACTTTTGTGTTCACTTATTTACATATATCTATAAGAATGCTTTTGTGTCAAATTTCTGTGTTTATTGACCTTAGCTAGGTTCGTGGCACTCAAATAAAAACTGACCTGAGGGTGTTTTCATCTTGATGATTGGTTAGAAACAAGGTTCTAGGTATCAGGGGTGGAATACAGGTTTGAGCTCATTAATACCAGAAGAAACCCTAGGCCTACTGTGGGGTAGTGAAAACAAAAGAATCTTATAATAACCGTATTTTCCCAAAACAATTAGGAATAGCCCAAAGAGACTAAGTTTTACAGAATTGGAGTTTACCGGGTAAGTTATCTTAGGTTCTGGTTGGTGGGGGGACTCTTCTGTTACTTCTTGGATCTTGACTTGTTCTTCTTTAGATTTCTCCTTGTAAGGTGATTTTTTCTTCAAAGACCTACTATCCTCTTTCTCTGCGTTATCCTTGCCTTTCTTTTTACCAGCTTCTTTACCCTTCTTCTCTGCTTTCTTTTCTTCCCTTAAGCGCTCCTCTTCTGCTAATCGATGTTGCTCTTCTTTCCATGCCTGTAAACACATTTAAGAAATTTAACAGGATTTTTAAACGAATTAAACATAGGTTCCATTCAGGTTCATTTTGAAGAATATTTAACATGATTTTTGTTAGTGTATCTCTGACAAATCAAAATACTGAACTAGAAGCCTTGACGTCATCCTTAATTCTCTTTCTCACTCAACTTCTGTCTGCTAAATCCTGTCAATTCCCCCTTTGAGATCTCTCCTCACTTCAGCTTCTTCTCTCAGGGTTTATTTTGCAATTTCCTTCGTTCAGGTCTTCATTATCTTTAGCCTGGACCATTGCAGCAGCCTCTTAACTGGTCTCCCAGTCTCCTATCCTCCACATGAGTCCGATCTTTAATTTAGGTCCTAAAGATAGTTTATTAGCAGTGTGGAAGACTAGATGTTCAGAGAAACATTCCTGGGATAAAATAATTCAAAAATGATGGATAACATAGGTAAAATGATGGAGGGTAAGTCTCCCCTAAGCACTCCTAACCACAAGCCTGTCCTCACATAGACTTGTGGCCAAAATACAGATTACCTTAACATTTTATTTTAAAACAGTCATCGAGGCAGGAAAATAGGGTCTAGAGGCAGGGAACATAAGGCTGATTCACACTTCAGTTATGACAGGAAATATCCTCTCCTAGGGTGTAGGCCAAGTGAACGACTTTATAACTTTACTTCATTCTCTCCATTTACATAGAGCATACCCCAAGTAACCAATGGAATCCTCTAGTGGGTACTTAAATTCTCAAAAATTCTGTAGTGGGGCCTTTGAGCTCCTATGCCTGGAACTACTCCCACACTGTGGTGTGTACTTTCATTTTCAATAAATCCCTTCATTCCTTCCTTGCTTTGTTTATGCATTTTGTTCAGTTCTTTGTTAAGACGCCAAGAACCTGGACCCTTCCACCGTTAACATTATGATTTGATATAAGCTCACAAATGAAAATCACAAAACATGCAGAAATAAACCACTTTGAGTAAGAAACAAACTGTGAAATCATATCTACAAAGACTACAGATATTGTAATTGCCAAATAGAGAATATAAGGTAAGTTTTAAAACATGCTCAAATAAATAAAAAGAAGTATTAAAAGCATAAGTAACAAAGAGAGGATTATCAAAAATGGCAAAGTGAGTTTGAAAGACTTCCTGAAAATGGAATTGAATTTTTGAAAAGGCAGTATTTGAACAGATAATGCCTGAGACATTTCGAGAGTTGAAGAAAGACGTTCATCCTAACATTAAGGAAGACCAATAAATCAAAAACAGGAAATAACATTGGTGTATCGGACCTAGCTCACATTAACTTAAAAGAGATTATTGTTAAATTTTTAGAAATTTTGTGAGCCAACTGTTAAACATGACCATCATCTAAAAATTATATAAATTTGCAATTAAGCAAAATATTAAAAACAAAGGCAATAAAGACTCAAAACTTACCACAACGTAAGTATTTTGTGACATTTCACTATTGTCTATGCTCTGGAGTTTATTTATGTCAATTGTAATGGTATCGTGACAACATTATATAATGGTGTGCTACTGCATAGCACTGCCAACTTCAGTGTTGTCACATGGTAGCTTCAAATCAGCTATTGTAGGGGTACTTATACTAGAAATATCAGCAAATGCTACAAGTCAGGACTGATTGATTGTTTATTATCTAGATTTAAGGAAGTGATGGAGATCATGTTAATAATGCAGACTAGCTGTTATATTGTTACTAGCACAGAAAGTTGAGGAAATATTCGTCCAGTATTAAAAAACTATTACTTGACTCAGCAAAAAAGTTGCTAATGTTATTGACAAATGAGTGAGACATATCCTTTCTTTGTTTCACTTTTGTCTTACTTGTTAACATAAATAAAAATATCAACATTCATATTAGAACTACATGTATTTATCAATTGTAATCATAGGTTGGCTAAGGATACAACAATTTAGCAAAAATCAGTTTGTAGAAATCAAAATGCTATCTGGAATTTATGGGTAGCTATATGGAATTTACATAAATAATATTATATGCTTTATTATTATATGTAAATTTTGTACTATATATACTGTGTGTCAGAAACATTTATAACTTATGTACATATATGTATACTTTTGTTTTCCTAGAGAGCTACTGCTTAAGCATTTACCAGCACACCGCTGAATGTTTTCAGAGCAGCTAGAGAGAAAAGATGAACTGTCCACTTTGGGAGGCCAAGGCGGGTGGATCACAAGGTCAGGAGTTCGAGACCAGCCTGGCCAACATGGTGAAACCCCATCTCTACTAAAAATACAAAAATTAGCTGGGTGTGGTGGTGGGCGCCTGTAATCCCAGCTACTCGGGAGGCTGAGGCAGGAGAATCACTTGAACCTGGGAGACAGAGGTTGCAGTGAGCCGAGATCGCACCACTGCACTCCAGCCTGGGCAACAGAGCAAGACTCCATCTCCAAAAAAAAAAAGATAAACTGTCCATAAAAGAATGACAAATTAGATGGACAATCAACTTGTTAACAGCCACAATGTGTCAGCAAGGAAAATGTGGAAAAATATCTTCAGAGTTGATACGGCTTGGATTTGTGTTCCTGCTCAAATCTCATGTGGAACTGTAATCTCCAATGTTGGAGGAGGAGTCTGGTGGGAGGTGATTGGATCATGGGGGCAGATTTTCCCCTTGCTGTTCTTATGATACTGAGTGAGTTCTCAGGAGATCTGGTTGTTTAAAAGTGTGCAGCACCTCCCCCTTCATTCTCTTCCTCCCGCTCTAGTCATGGAGGATGTGCCTGCCTCCCCTTCCCCTTCAGCCAGGATTATAAGTTTCCTGAGGCCTCTCCAGCCACGTTTCCTGTACAGCCTGAAGAACTGTGAGCCAATTATATCTCTTTTCTTAATAAATTACCAAGTCTTAGGTAGTTCTTTATAAAAATGTGAGAACAGACTAACACAAGAGTGATAAGAGGAAATTAAAAAGCCAACCAAGGATTTTATAAATGAAAACTATGTTTAATGAGTAAGGGCAAAATAAAGTCATTTTTCAGATAAGCAAAAACTGAGTTTAATAGCAACTGTGATATTGGGGTATAATAAGAAACAGATATTTGGTCATCATTCCTGGCTACTGGCACAGAGCCCCTAAGTCCCTTGGAATTTCATAAGTGATAGGAGCATCTTTTGCTCTAATGAGGCAACTCTTGTCATGTTCTTCAGGATAGGATGTAGGCTGTCCAGAAAGACCAAACCTTAATTAGAAGTTTGGGACTTTCAGCCTCATCCCCAAACCCCTCAGGAGGGAGGAGGAGCCAGAGATTGAGTTAATAATCTATCACGCCCACATAACGAAACCTCCGTAAAAACCTCTAAACAACAGGGTTTGGAGAGCTTCTGAACTAAGTTGGTGAATGCATCCATGCTCTGGGAGAATGACACACTCCACTTCCATGGGGACAGAAGCTCTTGTGCTTGGGACTCTTCTGGACCTTGCTGCATTTACCACTTTATCTGGCTGTTCATTTGTATCCTTATAATATCTTTTTATAATAAACCAGAATAGTAAGCACAGTGTTTTCCTGAGTCTTATGAGACATAAGCTTTCTAGCTAGTTATCGAACCCAAGGAGGTGATTGTGGAAACCTCCAAATGAGTAGTCAAGTCAGACAGAAGTGTGCATACTCTAGGCACCCAATACTTGTGATTGGCATCTGAAAAGGAAGCAGTCTTGTGGGAGTGAGTTAATCTACGAGGTCTGTGCTAACTCTGGGTAGTTAGTATCAGAATGGAATTTAATTGTAGGACACCCAGTTGGTGTTCGGAAAGTTGCAGATTCAGTCGGTGTGGGGAAAAAAACACCCACAAATTTACTTCAGAAGTATTGTGAGTAAAACAGTTCAAAGCAACAAACCCCAGTAAAAGAACTTCTAGAGCAAATACTCCCAGAACATAAAGAAGAAATGCCCAAGAAAACAAATGGTAAGCACGGAGACAAAGTTAAAACAACATGGACTATATAAAACAATTACAATGAGGCCAGGCACGGTGGTTCACGCCTGTAATTCCAGCACTTTGAGAGGCCCTGGAGGAGGTTTGCTTGAGGCCAGGGGTTCAAGACCAGCCTGGGCAACATAGTGAGACTCCATCTCTACAAAAAGTTAAAAACTTAGCTGGGCATGGTGGCACACTGCTATAGTCCTAGCTACTTGGCAGGCTGAGGCAGGAGGATCATTTGAGCCCAGGAATTTGAGGCTGCAGTGAGTTATAATCACGCCACTGCACTCCAGCCTGGGGGACAGAGTGAGACCCTTTTCCCAAAACAAAAAATAAAATATAAATAAATAAATAAATGAAACAATTACAATGATAATGTTTAATTTGTAGCAACACAAAAAAATCAAGATAAAACTTAAGCCTCAGTTTAAATCATTTTAATAGTTCCTGGTATTGTTCTGAAAGAAAAAAATATTTCATTAAGTTTAGATTTTATTAAATTATACTGAAATTAAGTTAAATTGAAATGATATAACAAGTTAAATTTCTAGAGCAACCACTAGGAGGAAAAAAAAGGTGCCTACATATTAAACTTTTCCTATAAAGGGCCAGAGAGTCAATATTTTAGGGCCAAGAGGCAAAATCAAGGACATCCATGTAGGTACTTATGCAATGAGAGAGAAAAGAAATTTATACAATTATTTTATGACAAATAATTGAGTACAATTTTTAGTAACAAGAAAAATAGAATTCTTTTTTTGTGTGTGGGGGGAATAACATTTCACTTATTTAGAGTGAATATTAATGTTTCCTATTATCAAACTGATGCAAAATGTAAAGAGGAAAATAAACTTAATACAAAGAAAGCAAGAAAGGAGGAAAAGAAAGGATCATAGAGAATATATAAAATAGGTTAGTTGAAGAAATCCCAAACATGTCATTAATCAGAATAGATATAAATGGAATCTACTCTCCTGCTAAACGTGTGTTCATCAGACAAGATTTTTAAAAATCTAGTTTATAGTCCTTGTTTACAAGAAACACACTAAAAATATAGTTTTTGTTGCTCTTGTGAATAAAATTTATTATTTGTTACATTTTCTAATTGGTTATTGCTGGTGAATAGGAATGCCAGTGATTTTTTTCAATGCTGATCTTGTCTACACCTGCACTTCCTCAATTCTTTTTAAAGTCAACACAGAGTGACATCAGCAAGATGGTGGAATAGGACTTTCCAGAACTCATCCCTCACAGAAACACAGATTTTAACAACTACCCACACATGAAAACACCTTCACAAGAGCCAGGAAAACCAGGTGAGAGAGTATAGCATCTTAATGTAGCTTGGAATTAAGAAGACCAGGCTGGTATCTGCAGATCACCCCTCCATGCCTGCCCCAATGCCAGGCCAGCCCCTGCAGACTCAGGCTCTAGGCCCACCTCACTGCCAGGCCCACCTCAGTGGTCGCGTACTCCAGGCTGCCTCTAGCATCAAGCTGGCTCCCCATGGCCCCAGGCTTCAGGCCTGCCCCAGCAGACTCAACCTCTAGGTCCTTCCTGGTGCTAGGACAGTCCTCAGATCCCAGACTTCAGTCTGGCTCATGCAGATCCGGCTTCCAGGCCCTCCTCATTGTCAGGCCAGCACCCATGCTCTCCAGCTCCAGACTGGCCACTGCTGACTCAGAACCCAGTCTGCCTTAATACCAGGCAAACCTCTGCAGCCCCAGACTCCAGGCTGGCAAGTGCAAAACCTATCCTCCAGGAACCCCCGGCACCTGTCAATATCCATAGACCCAGCCTCCAGGCTGGCCCCTGTGGACACAGACTCCACAGTGCCAGGCCAACCCCTGTGGCACCAGGTTTCAGACCAGCCCGAGGCCTCATGTTCCAGCAGACAAAAGGTCCAGGCCTGCTCTAGCAGACTGAGGTTCCAGGCCCATCCCAATAGACCTGAGCACTGGGCTGGTTCCTGTGAACCTTGGCTCTAGGGCCACCTCTGCAGAGTCAGGTGCAGGCTGGCTACATGGTTCTAGGACCCAGGCCTGTCCTCATGGCTCAGCACCAAGTCAGCCCCATGCTCCAGGCTGGTGCCGAAAGCCCCAGGCTCCAGTGGACCCAGGCTTGCCTCCATGGACTCAGGCTCCATGCCCATCCTTGTGGACCTATTTGTAGGCCCATCTAAGTCTCTGACCAGTTCCTGCAGACTCAGGCTCAAGGTCTGCTTCAGTGTCAGGTCAGCACTCAAGGACCCAGACTCCAGGCCCACCTCCATGAACCCAGTCAACAGATTTACCCCAGTGGACTCTGGTGACAGGCTGGCTGCTGCGGATTCAGGATCCAGGCTTGTCAGAGCAGACCTAAGCTCCAGGCCCACCTCAGCAGACCCAGGCTTCAGGCTGAAGCCTTCAGATCCAGAAAAGATAAATAAAATAATTCAACTTTTTGTTAAAAAATTAATGAAACTAAGTTTGTTTCTCAAAAAGATAAACATGATGAACAAACTTTTAGCTAAACTAAAAAAAAGAGAGATGACTCAAACAAATAAAATTGGAAATAAAGGAGGAGACATTACAAATGGTACCAAAGAAATACAAAGGATCAGCCGGGCGCAGTGGCTCACGCCTATAATCCCAGCACTTTGGGAGGCCAAGGTGGGCAGATCACAAGGTCAGGAGTTCGAGACCAGCCTAGCCAATATGGTGAAACCCTCTCTCTATTAAAAATACAAAAATTTGCCAGGCATGGTGGTGTATGCCTGTAGTTCCAGCTACTCGGGAGGCTGAGGCACAAGAATTGCTTAAACCCAGGAGGCAGAGGTTGCAGTGAGCCGGGATTGCACCACTGCACTCCAGCCTGGGCGACAGAGCGAGACTCCATCTAAAAAAAATAAAAATAAAAAATAAAATACAAAGGATCACAGAGAGTACTATGAATAATTACACATCAACAAATTGATAACCTAGAAGGAATGGATAAATTCCTAGAAGCATACAACTTACCAAGACTGAGTCATGAAGAAATACAAAACTGAACATACAAATAACAACTGAGAGACTGAATCAGTTATAAAATGTCTCCCATCATGAAAAGCCTAGGACCTGACGGCTTTACTAATGAATTCTCTCAAACATTTAAAGAACTAATACAAATTCTTCTCACCCTATGAAAAAAATTGAAGGGAAGAGAATACTTCCAAACCCATTTTATGAGGCCAACATTACCCTGATACCAAAGCTAGACAAGGACATTACAAGAAAATAAAATGACAGGCCGTTGTCCCTGGTGATGTTAGATGCAAAACTCCTCCAAAAAATTCTAGTAAACTGAATTCAACAGCACATTTGAAAGGCTCATTCCTCATGATTAAGTGTGATTTATTCCTGGGATGCAAAGATGATTCAACCTATTCAAGTCAATAAATGTGACATGCCATATTACAGAATGAAAGATAAAAATCACATGGTCATCACAATAGATGTGGAAAAAACATACGACAAACTCAAATATCCTTTCATAATAAAAACTCTCAACAAAGTAGATAAAGAGGAAATGTATCTCAACACAATAAAAATGTCCGTGCTACCCAAAGTGATCTACAGATTCAATACAATCCCTATCAAAATTCCAATGTCATCTTTTCACATAAATAGAAAAGTATCCTAAAATTTGTAGGGAATCACCAAAGACTCCTAATTGCCAACACAATCTTGAGGAAAAATAAAAAAAACTAGAGATATTGTTACAGTAGGTAGCTAGTCAGGCATGAGCAGGGCAGATGTGGGCTGCCCCCCATCACACACAGCAGGAATGCCAGATGACCATCAGGTGATGGCCAGGCAGTTGTTAACTGTCTCTCTAAAATAATAGGTGGTCACAGCTGGTGCCAGGGAAGGAGGCATCTCCCAATAGATGGAAAACACCTGAAACTGGTGATCAGCAGCTTCCCAGCGAGACCTCAGGAGTTGGGTGAGTGGGCTCAAATATGTGCATTAAGAGGCAAAATAGTGGAGTTTAACTGGTATATGACCTTTCTCTAGGAATGCTAGACTGGTAAGGGAAGAACGCCTCAAGTAAGCATGTGTACAACTCTAGAAACCATACTGTGCATGCTCCCCTCCCAAGTGCTAGCAGGCCACCGCACATGTGGACAGCCCCACCCCAAGGGAAGAATCATGGGAGAAGTGATGCAAGACCCTGGAAGTATGCCAACATTTAAAACACCAAGTCAAAAGGTCAAACTGTGCACTTGATCTCTCAAGTCACCTGCTTGGCCTTCTTCCAATTGTACTTTATTTCCTTTCATTCTTGCTCTAAAGCTTTTTAATAAACTTCCACTTCTGCTCTAAAACTTACCTCAGACTCTCCTTCTGCCTTATGCCCCTCAGTTGAATTCTTTCTTCTGAGGAGGCAAGAATTGAGGTTGCTGCAGACCCATATGGATTCACCACTGGTAACAGTATCACACTACCTGATTTCAAAATGGTTAGCTATAAAGCTATGCTAATCAAGACACCATGGTACTGGCATAAACACAGAGATCAATGGAATACAATAGAGGGCCCATAAATAAATCCACACATGTACAGTCAATTCATATTCAGCATAGATGCCAAGAACACAAAATTGAGGAAGACCAAGTTTTTCAATAAATGGTGCTGGGAAAACTGGATATCCACATGCAAAAGAATGAAATTAGACTCTAATGTGCATGCACAAAAACAACACAAAATGGATTAAAGACTTAAATGTACGTCCTGAAATTATGAAACTACTTACTAGAAGAAAACACAAGAGAAATCTCTGTCACATTGTTCTGGGCAGTGATGTTTTGAATATAACCTCAAAAGCACAGGCAACAAAAACAAAAATAGACAAATGGCATCACGTTAGACTAAAACCTTCTGCACAACAAAGAAAACAATCAACAAAGCGAAGAAATAACCTATGGAATAGGACATAATATTTGAAAACCTGCAACTGATAAGGAGTTAATATCTAAAAATATACCTAAGGAACTCAACTCAGTAGCAAGGAAACAAATAACCCAATTAAAAAATGAGCAAAGGACCCGAGCAGACATTTCTCAAAAGAAGGCTTACAAATGTCCCACAGGTTCATGAAAAAAAATGCCTGGCATAACTAATCAGCAGGGAAATGCAAATTAAACTCATCATGAGATACCATTTCACACCTGATAGAATGGCTATGAGAAAAAAGACAAGATAATAAATGTTGGGGAGGATGTGGAGAAAAGAGAACCATGGTACACTGATGATGGGAATATAAATTACTACAGCCACTATTGAAAGCAGTATGGCGGCTTCTCAAAAATTAGAATTAGAAATACCATATGATCCAGCAATCCCACTACTGGGTATATATCTAAAGGATTTGAAATCAGTATCCTGAGAAGGTATCTGCATGCCCATGTTTATTGCAGCATTATTTACAATAGCCTAGATATGGAATCAACCATATCTAGGACGCTTACATCCATCAACAGATAAATGAATAAAGAAAATTTGAGATACACACACACACACACAGTGGAATACTATTTTATGTATATATTCTGTAATACTATGTATACATATATTACATTATGTACATACTGCATTATGTATTATGTATGTGTATATACACAAAATACATAATATATAATAGTATTATATAATAGTATGTATAGTTATAATATATAGTATAATTACAATATATGATATGGTTTATATATTATATATAGTATAATATAATATAACATAATACTATTATAATATATAAACTATATAATATATACTATTATAATATATGAACTATTATAATATATAAACTATATATAATATATAATATGTACTATTATAATATATAAACTATTATAATATAATATATAAACTATTATAATACATAAACTATTATAATATATATAATACTATGTATACATATATTACATTATGTACATACTACATTATGTATTATGTATGTATATATACACAAAATACATAATATATAATAGTATTATATAATAGTATATATAGTTATAATATATAGTATAATTACAATATATAATATGGTTTATATATTATATATAGTATAATACAATATAACATAATACTATTATATATAAACTATATAATATATACTATTATAATATATAAACTATTATATATATAATAAACATACACACACAATGGAATACTATTCAGCCTTTAGAAAGAAGAAAAATCTGTTATTTGCAGCAACATGGATAAGCCTGGGGGACATGACATTAAGTGAAATAAGCCAGGGACAGAAACACAAATAGCACATGATTGCACTTATATGTGGAATCTAAAAGAGTTGAACTCACAAAAACAGAGAGTAGAATGGTGGTTACCAGGGGCTGCAGGAAAGGGGATCGGGAAGATGTTGGTCAAGGGATGTGAAATTTCAATTAGACAGGAGGAAAAAATTCAAGAGATCTATTGTACAACATGATGACTATAGTTAATAACAGTGAAATGTATACTTGAAAATTGCTAAGAAATTAGATTTTAAGTATTCTTACCACATAAAAATAATAACTACGTGAGGTAATGCATATGTTAATCAGTTTGATTTAGCCATTTTATAATATGTACATAATTCAAAACATTATGTTGTACACCAGAAATAGATACCATTTTTTCTCAGTTAAAAAATAAGTAATAAAAATATGTTTTTAAAAGCCAACATAACCTTAATAACAATGCTTGTTAATGACAATACAAAAGTCTGTAGACCAATTTCATTCACCATGGATATAAAAATTCCAAATAAAATGCTATCAAATCAAACCCAGTTTTTTATGGAAATAATAATATGCCATGAACATATAGTACTGTAATTTTTATCTATTATGTACATAAAGATGTTCCCAGGAGATTATTAAAATTAAAATTACTAGGTTCTACTCTCAAAGATGCAGTTAGGATGGAGTAAAGGAATGTGAATTTTACTAAGACCCTCCTCCCACCAGACACCCTTAGGAGATTATGATATATGTAGTTATGTAGGATGAGAACTGAACTTAAGGAAACAATGGATGAGTTTTTTATAGAAATGCAAATGCAACTTGTGTTGTTAAATCAATCTCTATAATTCAATATATCAACAGAAGAGGAAAACTAACAAATGTTAGTCTCAAAACAAATAGTTTAAAAATTAATAAAGTTTGGCAGCAATTAACAATAAAGTTGATGGTATGGCATGTAATTTTCTTTACTATTAATATCCAGAAACCGGAGGCTTACCAAAATTAATCAACTTTGTTTAAATGTTTATTGCATGCTCATGGGGGTTGGGAAGTTGGCTCTTGCTTACCTAATATTAAAGCTTACAACAAAGCTATCATAATTAAAATATCATGGTACATGCATAGGAATAATTAAGTAGGTGACTGAAACAGAACACAACATTCAAAATTGAATTCAAGGAATAAATGGGTGCCTAATATGTGATCTAATCAACACCCAAATTCAGTGGGGAGAATTAATGTTATATTTAATTTAAAAGTACTAGTAAAATAGCCTATCTGGACAAAGAAAAAGTAATACATTTACATTATACTATATAAAAATACATTTCAGATAGATATCTGAATATAAAAAATAAATCTATAAAAATATTCTAAGAGAATGCATAAAAATATATATGTATATCTCAAAGTGGAATCAACCCGGTAGAATCAATAACATAAAAGCCCTGAAACCATAATGGGAAAAAAATGACAGCGTTTTTAAAAACCTTTTAAAAATAAGCTATAACATATACACAAAAACGCACAAATAGCACAAATCAAACACTCCTGTAAATATCAGCAGGTCAAAAAGAGATGGTCTCCAGCTTCCAGGAAGCCATCTTCATGCTTCTTCCCAATCACTATCCACTCCCACTGCCCCAAAGTCAACCACTATCCTGTTGTGTAATACTTTAGTTTTGCCTGTTTTTTAAACTTTATGTAAGCTGGATTACCTTGAGAGAGCCTTCTAAAATGAAAGGAATCTTTTCCTTCTCTTTTTCTTTTTCTTGATCTGATATCTCTGTTTTGCTGATTCCTTTGTTACCTATAATCAGATAAAATTAAACTTCTTAGTAACTCTTAAATAAGATATCATAGAAGGCCCAAATCTCTGGGTTAGATGAGATCTCAAAGGCTTTCAAGTTCAACTTCTCATTTATTTATCTCTGGTTTTTTTCTTGCCATCTCTAGAATGAACATCTGAAATGGGACTGAGCCACATCAGTGATGGGGAACTCAAGTTTCTGGGGACAGTGCATTCCATTCTCAGTGTGTTGATATGTTGCAGCTTTTATTGAACTGTAGTCTCTCTCTCTCTCTCTAAAGCTTTCACCTAATAATCCTAGTTTACCACTTTAAGACTACACAGAACAAATCTAACATTTCCATCCATATTGAAGCCCTTCTTTTGCCATTGTAGTCATTCTGTTTTGAAGACTTATACTTTTCCGTACTTGAGAGACCTGAAATTGAATGCAATATCTATCAGGTGCATCCAATCCCAAATTAACCATTATCTAGATTTTCACAGGTTTTTGGTCTTTTCAGTAGAATTATAAAGAAAAGGCAGTAAACTCACATTTTTTTCTTACTAATAGGGAGGTGTGGCCCTAGACATGAGTGTTAGAGGGCAGCCCTACCCATTTTTTTAAAAAATATAGTCCTATCTATTTATTTTTCTTTTCTTTTTTTGGGGGGTACTTAATGCTCTCCTTCTGGGTCCCCATCAGGACCCAGAATTGATAGATTATACAACCATTTTGGTCAATATGGTAAAAGTTTCATCATTAACTTGCTTTTATATGGTTTACTTTAAAATCATGCCATGTACAAACTCCTTTGGTAATTGATAGAGGTTGCCAAAATTTTGGAAATTATGTAGCGTTGCTTCTTTATGAGAAATCCCTCTCACTTTGGCTATAATAAATGAATATTATTAACAAGGAGTCCATTTCCTTTGCACAAACTTAATGAAACATGATTATTTTCTAGATGAATTATCTCAACGTTTCACTTCTTTTCTTTATCAAGTATCTTTCTAAAAGTCTATTTTACTCTCTTTGTCACCATCTTCCCCTTCTGCCCACAGCCTCAAGGCCACAATAACACAACATCACCACCACCACAACATCATCAACAACAAAGGTATATATATTGATCCAATATCCTGTCAAGTCCCTGCCAGAGGCCTCCAAAAATCTCTTTCCCCATTATCTTTAGATTCCTACACCCAGTTAGTCTTGGGACCCTTCTGTTTGCTGTTCTAAGAAATATCTTGTTTTAGTCTCAATTTTGGAATCTATAATTATTCAAATAGATATCTACTAACTCTGAATTTACCTCTTATATTGTCAACAAATCTTAGATAGCTTAATTTACCAATCCTACCAATAAAGGCATTTGGCATTTCTCTAACATGTAACATTTGATCTGCACAACAGATGGAATCTTCCAGATTTGACAAGAAGTGGGGGGTCAATATAAAAAATACTCTATTATTGCACTCAGGTACAATCCCATATTTGGAATGCAGCTACTCTATTTACTAGAGAAAGTGAAGAGTCACAGGAACTTTTTTGGGTAATTCTTTTTAATATTGAAAATATTCACAGTCTTGATTAAATTAAGAGAGAGAAGAACGTTCTTGAATTTTATTCTACGTATAAGTTGAACTGGTTACTTACTTTTAGATTCTTTAATGGAAAAAATTTTGCTAGCAGAAGTAAGTTTGGCATTAGCAGAAGATTTCAATTCCAGCTCAGCTCTGGTCCTGATGATTTTCTCATTCATTTTAGATTCCTGATATATAGCTTCTTCTTTTGTAATCCAATCTTGAATAGATTTTGCAACAAGTTCCAAATAATTCCTAAACAAACCAATAGCAGACGTCAATTGAGTTACTATGAAAGTCAATAAATACTAAGGATATTGACTGTGCAAATAAACTTTTTGCTCATGTCAAAAATATAATGAGTTTGAATACATCCTAGATGTATTTTGTACAAAATAGTCAAATACAAATATCCAGTGAACATATGAAAACTGCCCTTCATCAACAGTTAAAGACATGTAAATTTAAAAATGAGATCTTTCATCTGACTCACTAGGCTTTGGGTTTAAGAAATAAAAAAAGAAATAAGATCTTTCCACTGAAGTGAAGGATTAATAAGTTTAATAATACCAAGAGTTAATGACAGTTTGAAGAGATGATCACTTTCACCACTGTTAGTTGGAGAATAATACAATGCAATCTCTTTTTTGGGCAATTTTATAGCACATTAGGAACTTTTAAAATTGAGACCAATTAATACTCACTGGATTAACTAAACCACTATAGCTTTGCTATGAAACTCACTGACCTTATGAATATGAACATCTTAAATACTATTCTCTAACTGCTTGTGCATTTATGCTTTCATTGGCAATTTGTTGCTTACCAGCAGTCATATTTGTTCCCAAATTCATTCACATCACTTATACTGACTAGTGTAATTATTTAAATTAAATATTATATACACTTATATGAACGTCCAAAGAGAGTTGTTTCTGAGGACATTAGTTATAAGATTTAAATTTGACAATAAAAATTGGTTATTGTCAAATTATGTGAAAGTGCAGCTTAAGGTTTTGAAAAAATAAAGCTAGATGGCTTATATACTCAGGTTGTTTAATAGTTTTCTTTAATTCTTCATCCTTTTTGGAGAAATAAACCATAAATGTAAACTATGAATTATGGGGGTACCCAACATCTTCATTTAGAAGGTAATGGATATCTCAAACTCAACATGTCCCCAAATGAACTCTGGATCTACTCCAACCTGCAGCATCCAAATTCTCTGGCATTTTTAGTTGATGGCAAGTCTACAGTTCCAGTTAAACAGGTCAAATACCCTGATGTTCTCCTTGATTACTCTTATTTTCTATTTTCTTTCTTTTTTTTTTTTGAGACTGAGTCTCGCTCTGTCACCCAGGCCAGAGTGCAGTGGCGCTACCACTTGGTTCACTGCAACCTCCGCCTCCCGGGTTCAAGCAATTCTCCTGATTCAGCCTCCCGAGTAGCTGGGATTACAGGTGCCTGCCACCATGCCCGGCTTCTTATTTTCTTATATTCTTCCAATCTGTCAGGAAATCTAAATTATTTTGTAAATTATTTAAAAATAATTTTAAAAGACATGTATTTATAATATATTCAAAATCTGCTGACTTCTCACCACCTTTACTGTTATTGGCCTGGTCTAAGCCATTACCATCTCTTGCTAGGATTTCTGCAATAGCCTCCAACTGGTTTCCCTGCTCCTACCCTGGGCCCCCAAAGTATATTCTCAACATAGCAATGAGGGTGATCCTTGTAACTCTTAATCAGATCATGTCTTTCCTCTGCTCAGACCTTTTTAATGAGTCTGCATGTCAAATAAAAATCAGAATACTTACAAGTAACCTACACCAAGGAAATATAGACTTACATATACAGCTCAATCAGTCTTCAAATGAGAGAACAAAATAAATATTAAATATGCAATGATTCAGAAAGCTTATCACACATAGGTACTTTCTGAACTATTTACTCACAAATGTATTCCAGTTGCATTAAAAAAATAAATCAGAGAAATAAGACAACATTGGATATAAGTTAAAAGGTCAAGAAAAAAAGCAGTATGATTTACAATTAAATGTAACTATGCTACTTATTTGTGATTAAAAACTATTACTTTACAATGAGAAACAATAGTTCTAGACAACTTCAAAATGAGAAGTAGGGATTTGTTGGGGGTAAATGGAATTATGTTAAATTAAAATTTTTTTTTTGTAAAATAATATTAATACTCATTAACTCCAGATATAAGATAAAAATATTTCAATGTTATTTAAAAGGGTAAGTATAACCTCTAGCAGAATATGAATAGAATGTATAACTTTTTAAAAATCACACACTCAGAATAAACTTAGAATATTCAGTCTAATGAAAGAAAATAGATTAATACTACATAGAAATTTATTTATAAAATTAAATGGTAAGAATAAAACCACATGCATTTTCAATAAAAGTAAGTGAATGGATTAAATTCTTTAGCATTTAAAATACTTAACTTTATTTTTAATTATTATGAAAATCCTTTAAAAGACATAGGCTATCAGAGTAACTAAAAAAATGCAAGCTGCTATTTATTTATTTATTTTTGACAAGGTCTTGCTCTGTAACCCAGGCTGGAGTGCAGGGGTACAATCATGTCTCACAGGTGCCTCAAACTCCTGGGCTTGAGCAATTCTCCCAGCTCAGACTCCCAAGTAGCTGGGATCACAGGTGCACACCACCAGACCCAGCTAATTTTTGTATTTTTTGTAGAGACAGGTTTTGCCATGTTGCCCAGGCTGGTTTGAAACTCCTGTTCTCAAGCGAGCCTCCTGCCTTGGCTTCCCAAAATGCTGGGAATATAGGCATGAGCCACTGGGCTGGCCTCAAAGTGCTATTTAAAAGAGATGTACATACAAACGAAATTATGCAGAAAGATAGAAGTGTGGCAGATGGCAGACTAAGAAGCCAGAAGCCTAGGTCTTTGATGACTTTTACAAGTGGTTGTATTAGCTCTGAGGCACTGCCCAAGTCCAGATTTCTTGCTACAGGAGAAAAGTAATCCTCTTCTTAGTTTAACCCCAGTAATCAACTCTACACTAACCTAGTGAAATACAATACCTACCTGACATATAAAATGATTGGGAAAGTTATACCAATAAATTCTTATATAAAGAAAGACCATCTAAAAATATTAATATCAAACATTATTAAATACAAGGTAGAAAGTATTAAAGGGAACAGAGGGACATTTTATCAGATTGATAAAAATCCTCAATTAAGAAGGATTCAAAAATAAATTTGCACACACATGCTACACATGTCAAAATAATAGAAAGGGGAGTAGATAAATCCATAATCATAAAAAGATATGAACACATCCTTCTCATAAACAGACATTAATCTTGAGAATACTCTGTTTAATTTTATGCCAATAGACTGGAAAATCTAGATGTCATGCATGATTCCCTAGAAAAGCAGAAATTACTCAAATTGATTGAAGAATTAACAAATCTAAATAGAGGATTACTTTTAGAAGAATTGAAAAAGTTACAGACAATTGATCCTTGATCTCTTCATATTACCATTTCTCTCCTTGGTCATATCATCTAGCCCCTAGGAAGCCATAAGCTCAAAATGAGTTTCCCTGTGAAGTAATGTGAAGGAATTATATTTAAATCTCTAACCAATTTTGAGTTGATTTTTGTGTATACTTTAAGACAGTAATCCATTTTTTGAATTTTAATTTATTTTTAAATAAATAAAAATTGTAAATATTTATCATGTACAACATGTGGTTTTGAAATATGTACACACTGTGGAATGGCTAAATTGAATTGATTAACATACATACTATCTTGCATACTTATCATTTTTTGTGGGGTAAGAACACTTAAAATTAGGAATCCAATCCTAGTGCTATTGTATTACTGTTTACTCCTCCTTTAGTTCTGTTAATATTTGCTTTATATTACTTTGCTGTTCAATGTTGTGTACATACATATTTACAATTGGTCTATCTCCTTGGAGAACTGACCTTGTCATTATATAATGATGTAGTCATTATATGTCTTTCTTTACCTTTTGTAACAATTTTTGACTTAAAGCCTATTTCATATGATATAAGTGTAGACAACCTTGATCTCTTTTAGTTATTATTTGCATGGAATATCTTTTTCTCTCTCCTCACTTTCACCTTATTTGTGCCCTTAAATCTAAAGTGAGTCTCTTGCAGGCAGAGTATAGTTGGATATGGTTTTATTATCCGTTAGTCCACTCTGAATTAGAGAATTTAATCCATTTAAAGTAATTATTAATAAACTATTGCCATTTATTTCATTGTTTCCTCTTTTACCCTCATTCTGTAATATAGCATATTACATTTATTGATTTGTATATATTGAACCATTCTTGCATTCCAGTTATAAATTCCACTTGATTATGTTGAATAATTTTCAATTTTGTTTTATGGTTCTTTTGTTTCTTTCCTACTCTTTTGCTGTCTTCCTTTTTGACTGGCTGATTTTTTTGCAGTGTTATTGTTTCATTCCTTTCTCTTTATCTTTCATGTGTTTATTATAGATTTTTGCTTTGTGGTTACATAAAACATCTTACATGCATAACAGTCCATTTTAAGCTGATAAAACTTGCCTTTGATTTTACACAAAACACATATTTGTAGAAGTTTTTTTTTTCTTTTTCCATTTTTTAGAGATGTGGTCTTGATATCTTACCCAGGCTGGACTCCAAATCCTAGGCTCAAATGATACTCCAGCCTAAGACTCCCATGTAGCTGCAGCTCTTCCTTCCCAACATTTTACGTTATTGACATCACTATTTACATATTTTTGTAATGCATATCCATTAATGAATCATCACAACTAGTTATTTTAATACATTTGTCTTTTAACTTTTATGCTAGTGTTAAATGTGATTTATGAAACACCATTACAGTATTAGAGTATCCTGAATTTGACTGTATACTTGCCTTTGCCTGTAAGTTTTATGCTTTTATAAGTTTTCACATTGCTATTTAGTGTTTTTCATTTCAACTTGACAACTCCCTTTGAGTATTTATTGAAGGGCAGGTCTGGTGGTGATGAACTCCCTCAGCTTTTGTTTGGGAAAGACTATCTCTCCTTCATTTCTGAAGGCTACATTTGCTGGGTACAGTATTCTCAATTGTGTTATAAATGTGTTCCTTTGGTCACATTTATATTTCCTGAATTCGTCATGTTCCTTGAAGTTTTCTGTTGCTGTCTTTGCAATTTAAGAAGCAGTTCCCTCCTCCAGTCTTTACTGGCTAGATTTGGTATATAAAAAGGTGTTCAACACTAATCATCGAGGACTTGCAGATCAAAATGACAATTAGATATCATTTCACTTATACTGGGATGGTTATTATAAACAAAACAAAATAAAACAAAAGATACCAAGCATTGGAAAGGATGTGGAGAAACTGGAACCCTTATATATGGTTGGTAGGAATGTAGAAAGGTGCAGCCACTATGGAAAATACCATAGAAGTTTCTCAAAAATTAGAAATAGAACAACCATATGATCCAGCAATCCCTCTTTTGAGTATATATGCAAAAAAAATTGAAATCAGCATCTTCAAGAATTATCTGGACCCCCATCTTCATTGCAATGTTTTCCACAGTAGCCAAGATAAAAAAACAACCTAAGTATCTGATGATAGATTTTAAATATGTGGTATATATGATAGAATAGCATTCAGCCTTAAAAAGGAAGGAAATCCTGCCATTTGTGACATGTATAAACCTAGAGGATATTATGCTGAGTTAAATAAGCCAGTCACTGAATGACAAATACCGGCTGATTCCACTTATACAGGTTATCTAAAACAGTCAAATTCATAGAAGCAGAGAAGAGAATGGTGGTTTACAGTGGCTGGTATGGGTGTATGGAATTGTTTTTCAACTATCATTAATAATATGGTATTGTGCACTTGAAGATATGTTAAAAGAAGGGATCACGTGTTCAATGTTTTTAAAAAACCACAATGCAAATGGACATGAGGACATTTTTTTAACATAATGGGTATGTTTAGTACCTTGGTTGTGGTGATGGTATATGTTCATGCATATGTTCAACCTCTCAAGATGTGTAAATTAAATGTATACAATTTTATGTATATCAATTATACCTCAATAAAGCTAAAAAATACTTATCACGATTTCTAAAGAATGAATCAAACAACATAGCATATAACTGTCACTAGTGAGAATAAACAAAATGGAACTCGAACAAAGTAAAGAAACTGAAAAAGAGAAAATAAAAGGACAAAATTAGGTGGTTGAAATCAATCTAAAAATATGTACTAAATTCTCAACCAAGAGGAAAATACTGTCAGACTAAATTTTTTAAAAAATCCCAGGTACACATATTATTTTACAAGGCATATATGGGTGGAAAAGGATATGCTAGATATAATATTAAAGAAAAGGCCGGGTGCGGTGGCTCATGCCTGTAATCCCAGCACTTTGGGAGGCCGAGGCGGGCGGATCACGAGGTCAGGAGATCGAGACCATCCCGGCTAAAAACGGTGAAATCCCGTCTCTACTAAAAATCAAAAAATTAGCCGGGCGTAGTGGCGGGCGCCTGTAGTCCCAGCTACTTGGGAGGCTGAGGCAGGAGAATGGCACGAACCCGGGAGGCGGAGCTTGCAGTGAGCCGAGATCCCGCCACTGCACTCCAGCCTGGGCGACAGAGCGAGACTCCATCTCAAAAAAAAAAAAAAAAAAAAATTAAAGAAAAAGGTTTGTATAACTTATCAATGTCAGATAAAATATATCTCATAAAATCTATATAGATACATTAATGTCAAACATATCAACATTGTTATCAGACAAAATAAACCTGAAAACAAATAGTAGTCCTAGAAATAAAGAGGAACATGCCTAAGGATAAAAGGTTCATCAGGAAGATATAACAATTCTAATACTGTATTTGTTTAATAATATAACCTCCATATGCATGAAGCCAAAAGCTGATATAATTATAATGAAAAACTGAAAAATTCACCATAATATTGTGGTTTTTTTAAAAATGTTTTTTCCCATTAATTAATGGAATTTTTGACCAAGTCCTCAAAAATCCAAAAGATTGTGGAAGATTTAAAAAATACATCACTACGGTCAGAAATTAGAGAACATTCCTTCCTGTCATACAAACCTTGAGCATTTAAAAAACTGACTACATATTAAACAACAGAGCAAGTATTAATGAATTCATAGCCTCAGTAGTCCATAGAATATGTTACATCTCCACTATATCTTTAAACTATAAACTGTTAACAAAAATGTAACACATAGCCAAGTGTTTAAAATGAAAACTCACATTTCTGTGTAATTAATGGGTCAAGTAAGAAAGGATAATGGAAATTAGAAATGTGAAGGACCTCTTCAAGGAGAACTACAAACCAGTGCTCAATGAAATAAAAGAGGATACAAACAAATGGAAGAACATTCCATGCTCATGGATACGAAGAATCAGTATCGTGAAAATGGCCATACTGCCCAAGGTAATTTATAGATTCAATGCCATCCCCATCAAGCTACCAATGACTTTCTTCACAGAATTGGAAAAAACTACTTTAAAGTTCATATGGAACCAAAAAAGAGCCCGCATCACCAAGTCAATCTTCAGCCAAAAGAACATAGCTGGAGACATCACGCTACCTGACTTCAAACTATACTACAAGGCTACAGTAACCAAAACAGCATGGTACTGGTACCAAAACAGAGATATAGATCAATGGAACAGAACAGAGCCCTCAGAAATAATGCCGCCTATCTACAACCATCTGATCTTTGACAAACCTGACAAAAACAAAAAATGGGGAAAAGATTCCCTATTTAATAAATGGTGCTGGGAAAACTGGCTAGCCATATGTAGAAAGCTGAAACTGGATCCCTTCCTTACACCTGATACAAAAATTAAGTCAAGATGGATTAAAGACTTAAATGTTAGACCTAAAACCATAAAAACCCTAGAAGAAAACCTAGGCAATACCATTCAGGACATAGGCATGGGCAAGGACTTCACGTCTAAAACACCAAAAGCAATGGCAACAAAAGCCGAAATTGACAAATGGGATCTCATTAAACTAAAGAGCTTCTGCACAGCAAAAGAAACTACCATCAGAGTGAACAGGCAACCTACAAAATGGGAGAAAATTTTTGCAATCTACTCATCTGACAAAGGGCTAATATCCAGAATCTACAATGAATTAAAACGAATTTACAAGAAAAAAACAAACAACCCCATCAAAAAGTGGGCGAAGGATATGAACAGACACTTCTCAAAAGAAGACATTTATGCAGCCAAAAAACACATGAAAAAATACTCATCATCACTGGTCATCAGAGAAATGCAAATCAAAACCACAATGAGATACCATCTCACACCAGTTAGAATGGCCATCATTAAAAAGTCAGGAAACAACAGGTGCTGGAGAGGATGTGGAGAAATAGGAACACTTTTACACTGTTGCTGGAACTGTAAACTAGTTCAACCATTGTGGAAGTCAGTGTGGCGATTCCTCAGGGATCTAGAACTAGAAATACCATTTGACCCAGCCATCCCATTATTGAGTATATACACAAAGGATTATAAATCATGCTGCCATAAAGACACATGCACACGTATGTTTATTGCGGCACTATTCACAATAGCAAAGACTTGGAACCAACCCAAATGTCCAACAACGATAGACTGGATTAAGAAAATGTGGCACATATACACCATGGAATACTATGCAGCCATAAAAAATGAAGAGTTCATGTCCTTTGTAGGGACATGGATGAAACTGGAAACCATCATTCTCAGCAAACTATCACAAGGACAAAGAACCAAACACCGCATGTTCTCACTCATAGGTCGGAATTGAACAATGAGAACACATGGACACAGGAAGGGGAACATCACACTTTGGGGCCTGTTGTGGGGTGGGGGGAGGGGGGAGGGATAGCATTAGGAGATATACCTAATGCTAAATGACGAGTTAATGGGTGCAGCACACCAACATGGCACATGTATACATATGTAACAAACCTGCACATTGTGCCCATGTACCCTAAAACTTAAAGTATAATAATAATAAAATTAAAAATAAAATAAAATAAAATAAAAAAAGAAAGATAATAAAAATACTATCAGTCAGATACTTTGAGGTGTTGCTAAGGCGGTATTTAGGGAGGGATTTGGCCTTAAATGCTAATAAGGAAAAAGCCAACAAAAACTAACAAAAAACAACTCAAAATCACAAGATAGGATTTTAATTTAAGAAGTTAAAGAACATCAGAATAATCCAAGGAAATTAAAGAGGAGAAATAAACAAGATGCTGGCAAAATTAAATGAGATAAAAGGAGAAAGAGTTAGAAAGCAAGAACAGATTTCTTAAAAATATTAGTAAGACTGGCAAACCTTTGGCAAGTTTGATCCAGAAAAATATAGAGAAATCACAGATTAAAAATGTTAAGAACGAAAAAGAATATAGACACACGTAACACAGGTTTAAAAGGTAAAAGAATATTTTAATGAACTTTATGTCAATACTTTTGAAAACAGGTGTAATGGTCAAATATCTGGAAAAATATAAATTATAAACCTAATTAAAATTAAGTAGAAAACATGAAGAGTCTAATAACCATGATAGAAGTCGTGTCAGTAATCAAACATCTTCCCTGGGCCGTATGTTTTTATCTGCAAGCTCTACCAAATGCCAAAGGAACATATACCTTAATTTTCCACAAACTATTTCAGAAAATGAAAAAATAAAAATAAAAAGGGAGAACATTCTCCAGTTAATTTATGAGGTTAACATAATCTCAATACTAAAACCAAATAGGAATATTTAAAGCAAGGAAAAATTATAGCTGAATCTTGCCCATGAATACACATGTAACTATTCTAAACAATACATTAGCAAAGCAAATGTGGCAATTATAAAGAAGATAACATAATGGACAAATCTGGCTTACTACAGGAACGCAAGTTTGGTTCAACACTAGAATATCTGTTAATGAAATTAGCACTTTCATAGATTAAAGAAAAAAATATAAACACCTAAATTGATCCAGAAAAATCATTTAATTGATATGACTTAATGACCATTGAGAACTCATAGCAAACTAGAAATAGTTTTTTTAACTTAATAAGGAATATTTACATAAATCCTAGAGCAAAAAAAAAAATTTAATTGTTGAATATTCGAAACATTGCCTTTAAAATCTGGAATAAGACAAGGATTTCTCCTCAAAATTAAATTGGAGATCCTAGCCAAGACATAAGGCAAAGGGATAAAATGCGTAATTATTGTTAACGAAAAACAAAACAAAGACAAACACAGCTTAACTGTTCAAGGTGTTATATTAGTATATCTACCAAATTCCTTCATTTTAAAGTCATTTTATGACTTTAAAATGTGTGTGTGCCCACATACAGTATATTCCCCCAATTATTATGTAAGTCCATTCTGTAAATCTTTCTGTATTCTTTAAAACTAAAAAAAATGCTATACAAATAATACTGAAAATACATTAACCAGTATTGAAATAACAGTGAAATATCATCATACTTAATGAGAAGAGAGAACAAAGTTCTAAGAGAAAAAGGGAATAACTAAGGAGCTGGAAAGAAAAAATCACTAACCCCTAGGCTCTCAGTTTGCTGGAAACCTGACTGCTCTGTTGGTATATTACTCAGCTGACCTATTTTTGAATGTTCCCCAGATAAAATAGAGTTAAAAAAACCCAACATGCAGAATGTCATGTTTTATAGTTCCTACTTGAAATCTTTTGGAGACAGTTTTACTGGAATCTAAATGAATCAAATGTAATTTAACAACATCCTCACTAGATTCCACGAGGGCAAGAATGACACCTGTTTTCTTTAGTGGTATAGCTCCAATGCCCATACAGTGCCCAGCACATGCTGACATTCAATTTAGTGAGCTGAATTGAATCTATAGTACTACACAAATGTTTTCATTGAGCTGAACCCCCTAGCTTAGGGTAAGGAACTAACACCTAAGTAACTAAGTAACTGGCAAGCTAACTAAACCCAACTAACTAATTAACTAAACTTTCCAAATTTGTTACCTGAATCCAACATTGGAGTGGAGAGCAATGTTCCAATATTCACAATGCAAACGTTGTCTATTCATTGGATTGTGAAAGACTAAAAGTAAAGAGTTGTCTTGGGTGTGGTAGTAAGAATCAACACACCTATATTGCTTATGGGCTTCTTGAAGGACCTGAAAATCAAAATAATTGCATTGTAGAATCTTTTTTATTTTCCCCAAGAGAAGGGTCTCCTACTAGGGCATTTCTCTACTCCCTTTTTTTCCTACATTCACCTCTACATTGTTAGTCAAGTTGAAATTCCCAGAGGTTTCTTTCCTAGCTGCTAGAAGGTGAGAGCATAAATGGTAGCTAGCTTGGGAAGCATTTCAGCAACACTTTAGAAAAACAAATACTAGGCATCAGGCAGAGCGGCGCTTGCTACAAGTGTTCTTCATTAAGGTTGGTAGGTAATAATTAAGCACAGCAGTCATTTATCTAGCATTTTCCATGCCTTGATATAGACCATCTAATTTTATCATCATTTAAAACTCCACATAAATAGATGCTATGAATTAAATTGTGTTCACCATCCCTATTTATATGTTGAAGCCTTAACTGCTAGTGTGATGGTATTTGGAGATGGGGCTTTGGGAAAGTAATTAGGTTTGATGGGGTCATGAGACTAGGGCCGTCAAGATAAGATTAGTGCCGTTATAAGAAGAGGCAGCAGATAACCTGCTCTCCCTCCCTCTTTCCCTTCTCCATCCCCACTCCCTCTTACTCTCTCTGCCATGTGAGGACACAACGCAAAGGCACAAGCCAGGAAGGGAGTCCTCAACAAAACTCAACCATGCCAGCACCCAGACATCAGACTTGCAGCTTCCAGAACTGTGAGAAAATTTCTGTTGTTTACGCTACTCAGGCATGGCATTTTGGCATGGCAGCCCAAGCGGACTAAATCAGTAGGTATGATTATTTTTCCCATATCAAAATATTAGAATTCTCATTTTTTCAGCATAAATTGAGGCTGAGAGAGTAAGGGACTTGTCCAAGAACACTGTGTGTTATGGTGCCAGGGCTCATCCCTGTTTTCCAACTCTAAATTTTACCATTTTGCATTCTCTCCACTATACCATGCTGTGTTAGATGAAGTGAAGTGAGTGGTCTTTCTGACACATACCGTTTCTACCTGCCTTCCAACTCTGGCCCTTTCTAAAACATACCATCCTCAGCATGCACTGCGGTGGTAGCTACCAGTAGAGAGACACAGTGGGCAGCTGCTTATCCTGTTTCCTTTGCCAATCAACAATAAGGAAATTGTCAATAGGAAAAATAAATTAGACAGCTGTGGGCTTTCGTTTTTGTTTTCAATATCAATTTGCTGAGGCAGCTTTTGGTTTTCTATTGTTTGCATATCTGAAGGCATGGAGTGATATATATATAATATATATATATATAACATAATAATGTTAGAAAAGGGCTGCTTTAATTTTGCTTTCAATTCTACATTGGTAGCATAATCAAAACAATACATTTGCTTCCCCAATTTAGTCCCCTGAATGAGTGTCTTTATGGAGTGGCACTTTTACATCTGTTTCCTCAGAGCCAACATAAGAAACATACATGTGGTGAATATCTTTGCATTTTAAAATATTGTTATGTAGGGTATCATCTAGTACTTACTGATGTTTTTTTGAAAAGCAAATTCTGCTCACACTATAAACCCAGAAAACCATTGCGTTTATGATGAATATATATCCTTTCTTTTAGATAATAAGAGCTTTGAAATCTTTGGGTTTTCATATTGCTTTGGGGGTGCTAAAAATACAGCACTAAGTTTCACAGAACTATAGCTGCTCTCAATCAATATGTAAAGTTTTCATATCTTATTTTCCCCTTTTTTACTAATTGGTGCTTGTCTTTTATTCTGTATTAATATTATTGGTTACGTTAGTTATTTAGTTAAGTTTTTCATTAAAAATGAGTACCTATTGTGTGGCAGGCACTGTGCAGGTACTAGGAAAACAAAAATAAACAAAATAGATAAGATTTTCCTCTAAAATATGATAAAGATTTTTTTGTTGTTGTTAATTAGAGACGGGACCTTGCTATGTTGCCCAGGCTGGCCCCTAAAGCTTAGCCTCAAGCTATCCTCCTCTCTCAGCCTCCTGAATAGTTGGGACTACAGACCTGTGGCTTTATAGATTATTTTGGAGTTGAAGGAGGTGTGTCCGAAAAGATGAAATTAATGGAATATCTGATATATAGAGAATGGATTAGAGCAGGGCAAGAGTGGAAGCAGGTAATCAGGAGGATATTGTGGTGGAATTAGAGGGTGGTAGTCATATAAAAGTAGGCCGGGTGTGGTGGCTCACGCCTGTAATCCCAGCACTTTGAGAGTCCAAGGTGGGTGGATCATGAGGTCAGGAGATTGAGACCATCCTCACCAACATGGTGAAACCCTGTCTCTACTAAAAATACAAAAAATCAGCCAGATATGGTGGCACGTGCCTATAGTCCCAGCTACTCAGGAGGCTGAGGCAGGATAATTGCTTCAACCCAGGAGGCGGAGGTTGCAGTGAGCCGAGAGCATGCCACTGCACTCCAGCCTAAGCGACAGAGTGAGACTCCGTCTCAAAAAAAAAAAAAAGTGGTGGTAGCTGTGGTGCAGAAGAGCTTGAAGATATATTTGGAGGTATACCCCTTAAACACTGATGATGGATTAGGTATCAGGGATAAAGGAGAGGTTGGAACAAAGGATGATTCTGGCTTTTTGCTTGAGCACTTGAATGATGGTGACCTTTTCTGAGATGGACAAGGGAAGAAATGCTTAGGTGGGAAAAATATGAGTGTCATATAGGATACTAAATTTGAGATGGATACTAAATTTGATCAGAAATTCAGGTAGAATTTTGAGTAAGGTATAATAATGTGAATCTCTAGAGAGAGATAATTTAAAAGATATGGGCATCAGCATTAGATAGTATATAACAGATGAGATCATCAAAGAAGGGTGTTTACAGAGGCAAGAAGATGCTCTAGGGCTTCCTGGAGGCTCCAGAGCCTTGAGGCACTTCCATATTAGATGCTGGGTAAAGGAGGAAAAGTCAACAAAATTCCAAATACAACACTGAGGAAACCAAGAGTGCAGAGTGTTTCATGGGGGAAGGGATAAGCTCTGCAATGCTGTTAAAATGTCAGGGAAGATGAAGAAAGATAAGTGTCCATTAGATTTGGCAAGACAAAGATTATTGATTACCTTGAAAAGTGCAGCTTCATGGAGCAGTAAGGACTGAGAAAAACTGAAATAGTATAAAGTCTGAAGTAAACTTTCAGTTACAGAGAAAAGATTGAACATTTGCACTCTCTAACGCCTCATTAAAAGAACAGTAACATTTTGTTTGTTTTTTTAATATCATAAAATTGAAAGCCAACTTCAACTTGTTGAAGGAGAGGAGATAAAGGCACCGGAATTTTAGAAGCTGGAAAGCAGAAGGATAAATGCTAAATGACTTAGCAGAATACAGAAAGCCAAGTCCTAAGATTAATTTTAGGAGAGACCACAGGCAACCCCATTTGTGTGCAGAAATATAGAAAGTCTCAGGATATGGAAATACTAGTCACCTCTGCAAGTGGGGTGAAAGTGGCACTGAAAATAGGAAGATTAGTTTAAAATCTTTTTAAGAAGCAGTTAGGCCCCTGGATTCCATTAAAATTCTGAGCAACTGGGCTATTGCCTATCTCCCACTCTAGCAGAGGGGAAGAGGGTAACTACAGATGGTAGATGAATGGGTTCTAAGAACAGTGGACCCAACGCACACTGACAGAGAAGTACATTCTAGAAAAAAAGGGAATTGTGTAAAAGCCTAAATCAGCACTGCTCAATAGAAATATAAAGTGAGCCACAAATGTGAGCCACATGTGCAATTCTAAATTTTATAGTAGCCACATTTTAAAAAGTAAAAAGAAACAAGTAAAATAAATGTTAATGATATATTATATTTAACCTGATAGATAAAAATTCTTATCATTTCAACATATAAACAATGTAAAAGTAATCAATGCCACCTTTTTAAAGTCTTGGAAATTGAGTGTGTAATAGCACTTATATAGTGTATAGCACAGTTATTGCACATCTCAATTTGGTCTAGATTCATTTCAAGTATTCAGAAGTTACATGTGACTAGTGGCTACCACACTGGATAATGCAGATCTAGATAATAAATGTCAGAAGCTTAATACCCTTCCCTCATTACCTAGCTCTCAAAACACTGACAGGAAGGCTTATGTCTTTCAGACAGAAAATTAGACTTTTTTTTTTTCATGGAGAATTTAAATGGCCCAAGAAAACAGAACTGACATACCAACAATGGTGAGTCTCCTATGGAAATCTCCCAGTCAAATCACCCAACAATGAACTCAGTTATTGACAACCCCCCACCCCACCTCATATAGCACTTCCTATCATATTTTTATTGTTTCATTATTAATATGAGCAAAGAGGACAATATTATATATTACCCTCCAATGTGAAAAATGAAGACGAAACAAAAAAGACAAAAAATGAGAAAAGAAACTTGGAGGAAAAAGAGATAATTCATGGAGAAGACAACTTCAGAGGACTTTAATATCCTCATAGAGATAAGAGAAGGTATTATATCAGAAATGCAGTGGCTCACACCTGTAATGCCGGCACTTTGGGAGGCCAAGGCGGGTGGATCACCTGAGGTCAGGAGGTCAAGACCAGCCTGGCCAACATGGTGAAACCCCATCTCTACTATAAATACAAACATCAGCCAGGTGTGGTGGCAAGTGCCTGTAATCCCAGCTACTTGGGAGGTTGAGGCAGGAGAATCACTTGAACCTGGAAGGCAGAGGTTGCAGTGAGCCAAGATCATGCCACTCCAGGCTGGGCGACACAGCGAGACATCATCTCAAAAAAAAGAAAAAGTGAAATGATTCTTTAAAAAGGTAATTTGAAATTATAAATATAACTTTAGGAAATCAGAATGATAATAACAGGAATAAAGGGCTCAATATAAGAAATGAATGGAAATTGAGCAAAGCCAAAAGATAAATTGATGGAAACTAAAAGAAAAAAGAAAGGGAAATTGCAGGTTCAGTCTAGCAGGTCCAACACCAGAGTAATAAGATTTCCAGAAAAAAAAGGACAGAGAAAATGGAGAGGAGAGATTATCAAAGAAATGATTATAGAAAATTTCCCAAAATATAAATACAGGAATTTCTGGATTGCACCGGCTTGCCAGAACAATACATAGAAACAGAACCACACAAAGGCATATCAACAGGAAATCAAGAGCATTGGAACAAAGAGAAGATCTTAAAATCTTCCAGGGAGAGGATCACAACATACTCAAACAACTGATTAGGAATCAGAATTGTATTTATTTATTTTTCTAAGGACAATCTGGGAAGTCAGAACACTGTCAAAAACTGTCTTTAAAGTATTGAGAAAAAATGCTTTTTAATTTAGCATTTACTATAAAGCCCAACTGTCAGTCAATATAAAGATAGAATTAAGCTGTTTTCAAATATTGAATGCCTCAAAAATTTACTTCCCGTCTATCTTAATTAAGGAAGCTACTGGAAGAGATGATTCTCTACAAAAAAGAGAGTAACCGGAGAGGGAACACATGGGATGAAGGCAACAGGTATCTAACTGGAAAGGAAGGGAATGGGTGTGGCCCGGATGACGGTAAAGGGAGGCCCAGGACCACAGCTGTGCAGCAAGCTTAGGGAATATGGGAGAGATATCACTAATACAATAAAACTAATAGAATATCTGTTATGTTTGAATGTATTGAGTGACTTACTCAGTAGTAGAGAATTTGGGGATAAGTTAATAATAAATACATAGTAAACTAAACAAATAGAAAAAGAGGCAATTATTAACTGCAGAGAAAATAAAAATGGTACCCATACAGGAAATGTAATTATAGAATACCACACAGTTCAGCTGTGAATAGCACTTACATAACTGAAATAAAGTGAGTTCTGAATACTTATCTAACCAAAAATTACGATATTGTTAACAGTATCAGAGAATGGAGAAGTGCTAATGTGAATGTGGGGGTGGGTGAGCCTGTACCTGTACATGCACATGTGTGTTGGATGGGGGTGGGCAAAGCTGTGTTCTCAAGAGCGAATCAATTGGTAATGATGTCACAAAACTAAAACTAAACAAAATATACTTGCTATTTAGAGATCACCGAGTAAAGTAACAAAAGAAAGGGGTAAATGCACTGAAGATTTTTGCCTCTGAGAACTGCGGCTTGGTGGAGTGGGGTGGGGATGGGGGAAGGAGGCTGCTATTTTTCATAGTAAGACTTTGTAGAACTTTCTGGCTTAAAAAACGTTGTAAAACTTTGATAAAAATAAAAATCAAATTAAAAAGACAAAACCAAAAGAGGACAAGTTTTTGTGTAAAAGCTAAACACAACAAAAGGATTTAGGTTTGGGATTACTTGTTATTTTGCTGAGTGGTTAAGAGTACAAGTTCCAGGGCCAGATTTCCTGGGTTTATATCTAGCTTCTCACTTAGCTGCCATGTTACCTTGGACAAAAGTCACTACTGGTCAAGGTGCCTCAGTTTCTTACTGCTTACATAGTTTCTACTTCACAGGGTTATTGTGAGGATTAAATGAGCTAATAATACATATTAATCAGTGCCTGGCACATGGTAAGTGCTCAATGAATGTTGGCTACCACAGATTCCATTGAACTGTTAATCAAAACAGAAAATACTGTGAAATGTGGTGAAATTGAGTAGAATGGATAAACAATATGGAAAAAAATAAGGTTTTTCCCAATAAAACCTTACTTTGTTTTTAGAAAATACATGCAGCAGCAAAAAAATATATATATGCAGCAGTCTTGTATATTTCTTTTTTTCTTAAAATATTTTATAAAAGCATTCTTTCATAAAGTATATTTTAAACTATTTTAGAGAGTCGCTGGGAATGCATAGCTCAAGCTGGGAGTAAATTTATTTTATAGCTGAAGTAAAGGAGACTATTGATCTGAACTAGATCTGAGAGAATGACCTGGAGGTGAACTGTTCTAAATCACAGCAGACTCTCCAGACCTATCTGACCGTCTCCTAGAGAATCACAGTCCATAAATACCTGAAGCAGTACTTTCGGTTTAAAATGTTCAGTAAAACTCCAGTCCATTAGACTGCGCTGCTGTGTTTTCTTTATGTCCTCTAAATCTGCTTCCACCATCATCTTCTTGGGTTTCTAAAATATCATAGGAACACAATTTCAGCTTTAATTTGTTTAAGTCCAAATGGAGCCCTCTTGGGCTCCGTCAACTAACCAGTATGTACTCCATCTAATTGGGGAAATCTGCATATGTATAAATCCATATGGCAACATTTTAGGAGAGCTGCTGCCAAAAAGAGTATGCCTTTGACTTTTTTTTTTATGGGCAACATAATCTAAATATTTTTATTGTTAGGTTATACTCTTCTGAGTCCTGTTAGCAATTACAGGCAGGTTTTCTGAACTCTCTTCAAGACAACGTTAGCTCTACAGGGCTGTATGGTGAGCAGGTGTTTGTGAGGTTGCCAAGCCACACTGTCTAGAGAGGAGCAAGGAGCTGGGAAGTTATGCGCAAGCCGCCTAGCAATATTAACTCCTTTCTGTCCAGTTGGAGCTGCTCTGGGGATGTCCGAATAGTTCCTCTTTTCTAGCCTCAGTATTCTCCTTCTAAGTATCTTCTTTTTTCTTTTTCAGTGTTTCTTACTCCAAGTCATGGTTTTTCTCAGATCATCTTGTCATCTACATTTTCAGAAAAATAATTCCTTACCTTTTCATGAGAATCAGCCTTTGTGACTGCATCATCTTTGATCTCATTGTTTGTGGTCTGCTCTGCAAATCAAAGACACCAACATCCAGTTGTGTTCTGGCTTTGTTCTTGCCCTGCTGGTTAATGCTGTGCTTTTTTGTTGCCCATATGATCTATGTTTCTGTGCTGAAAAGGCAATGCCTGAAAGGCATGTTTTGTGCCTCCAGAAAGGTGTTTGTGTCCATAATTCTAAATCTGTGCCTACCTAGAAAAATTATACTAAGCTCTTTGAAAAGAACCTAGCTTCTTGTGTGATATATCTTAAATCATACCAGATATTCTGCTTTCAGACTGTATCATTCACTTCTAACAATATACCTTTATCTTTAAAAGTTGTAATTATTTACTGATTAAATCAACTTCTTAGTACACATGATTTGTCTTCTTGTGCTGGTGACTATCACAAAGCCTTTTTAAATTTCTGTGGATCTTATCTTGTGGATGACAGACTAGGGTGGGGGCAGGCCATGCGTGCAAAGAGGCACTGGCAGATAAGTGCACTTCCTATTGGAAAATGATACGCTTTCACCATTCTGCAGAGCTTCCCTTCCATTCATTAATCATTTATTAACTTAAAAATTATTTAATGAGCATCTGCTAATTTACAAATGAAGCTTAACAAAAGTTAAATAAATAAATGAAGCGGTACCTGGACTCCATGGACCAATACGAGTCATGCACACTATGGACCAATATGAGTCATGCACACTAGCTTTCCTAGTAATGACAGAGTATACTTATATGATGATTGGGATGGTGATATCATCCTTGGCTATGAAGCAAACAGCCATGTGAATGAACAGGGAAGGAACACATTCATATTGTTGATTTCTGCATCACCAGAAGAAAGAGTTCCATGATAAATAAGTTTAACATAGATCAACGAACATCTCACTATGAATGTCTTAGAATTTGTAATTTGCTCTTGTTATTGTGAATCTCTAATTGAGAAATGGATAATGTATATAGCATTTTGCAAATTTGATCACAGAAATAGAGTATGTGTGTGTGGGAGGTGGATTTTGTGGGAATATACTTTGATGCTGCTGAACAACTGAACAGCCCTGACTTCTTATCACTCTTAGAATAAATGAAGATTATGTCTGACAAAGTTGTACAGGAAATGGCTCTGGCCTAACTCTTTAAGCACAACTCTTTGACTCTCCCTTGCTCATTCTACTCCAGATACACTGGCCTGCTTGCTGTGTCTTGAGGGTCTTGCACTTTCTTTCTCTCTGGTATGCTTTGCCCTTAGCTGTTCACCTTTTTCAGACCCTGACTTCATTCATATTGGTCGAGTATCACCTTCTCAAGAGTCTTCTGCCTCATCCTCTGCTTTGTTTGTTTTTTTTATCATAGCATGTATCTATGCCTAATGCTACTTACTTGTTTATGGTCTGTCTCTCCACCTCATATGTAAATTCCTGGAGAATAGAAACTTCATCTTATTATTATTATTATTTTTAACTGTACTCTGAGCACCCAGCATCTGGCAGGAACTCAGTAAATATTTCCTTTTGATTGAATGAGAAGAATCTACATCATATATTAAACGTGGAAATTAACCTAGAGCCATATAGAGAAATTAGAAATGTGGGAAAAAACCTACAACAAAGCCTTATTCTGTGGCAAGCATAAGACAACTTTTTATTCTGTGGCAAAGAGTACCATATTTGGGCTTCTAGAGGGAGAAGCTGATTGTGCCTATGAAGGACAGGCCAGTGTTTTTCTTTCTTTCAGGAGCACAGCTACTTACATTTTTGCTACTAGTTCCATCTTGCCTTGGGCTGGTGAAGGTGACAGCATGAACGTTCCATTTTGATTTAGGGGAAAACCATACAGCCAATTCAGTTCAGCATTTATATAAATACATCCACTGAAGAGAAAACTCAGGCCAACTATAACTCTAAATAGACCATGATGTCTCATGTGTCCTTGAAGCAATTGATATGAAATCTGTGGATAAAAATTATTCTATTCTGTGGTCTGCCAGATTTCCGGGAGATTTGATATTCCCTCCTATGTTTAAGGATCCAGCAGAAAAAGTCTCCAGTTTAGAAAATATGTTCTAAAAATTATGCATCAGTTATTTTGTCAAAGGAAAGAACATTCTAAAAGTAATCTGAATTATTTATTTAATAGTAGAGTAAAAATCATTTTTTTTTCTTTTTCTGATTTTTGCTTTCAACCACATAATCCTTTGACAGTGTGATTCAGTAGTTTTTGACACATCTGGAAATGGATGCTTTCTCATCCCTTTGAAAAACAGCTTTCCTAATCTGTTTTACTTTAGAGATAACAAGATCCCTCTGCAAAGCAGTTACTTTATTAAAAAAACACCCAACAAGCATAAAGGGCACATCTAAACCTCGCGGTTATCAACTCTCAGGTTTTTCATAAATATCCACTAGGCCCTGTCAAGTTCAAAAATAGTCTCAGATGGAAATCCAGTATTTGGTTAAGAAAAGCACAAATATTCAGCCCTTTATGTCCAGGAAAAGGCTTTTATATGTATTTGATGCTAAAATGGTTGTGCAGGAAATACATGAATGATTTTTGCCTTGTTTAAAGAGAATTAAAGTTGGCGGCTTTGAAGTAAGTATGATTCAGAGTTAGGGAAAGAAATGTAAAATCAACAACATCAACAACAACAAAGTCCCATACTCACAACAGCTACAATGTGACACCAAGCCCAGATGCCCTCCCCCTTTCAAATGGAATGGCTCCTGGAAGTAGGTCAAAATGCACCACGGAGAAACACTTATGGCCCTGAGATCCACCCTCCAGATTGCGTGGCCTCTAGGATACACTGTCCACTATAGCATTTTCAACCCTGAGAATTTAGGAAGTTACTATTCATATAATAATCTACTTTATTCCAGAATCCAGCACACCAATTTATGTAGTTTGACCACCAGGTGGCAAAAGTTGCCTAAGGAAAACTATCCAGCTGCTTTAAAGAAAAAAAAATGAAACAAAACAAAGAAAACACCTTGGGCCTTACACCTCTCCTGGCTTATTCTGACTCTATATTAACCCAGAGTGACTTCCCTGTCATTCATTTGTAGTCCCATAGGATACACTATCGCCATAAGAACTCAGGTTAATTTATTGGCTTAAATTTTTTGAGAGGTAGGCTAATAGGTAAGGGTACTTAGGACAAAGAAATAGGGAATCTACCCTAGTTAGAAGGAAGGAAATCCCAAAGGCAACAAAATCAGCATAAAAATCACCATGAATGAGACTAGGAGCATGGCTAAATCATTAGCTGCATCACCAGGAATTTCTGGAACTCAGGAAGCTGCAAGACACAGTGGAGGAAGCACTGGTTTGAAGTTAGCCCTCTGTTCAAATCCTGACTTCCTACTTGTATGTAGTTGAACAAATTATTTAAACTTTCTAAGTCTTGGTTTCCTCATCTGTAGAATTGGGATATTGGGATAATAGTATCTTTGTCATAGGCTGATGTTTATGTAAGTATTAGTTAATGTACTTGAGATATAGCAGAGCAATATTAAATAAATGTTATTTTCTTCCCTCTTCCATTCACTCCAATTGCCTCCTCTACCAATCCTATTCCATTGATTACTTCCTTTTCGACCCACCTCTAGATTAATGAAAAGGGTAAGATGACCATTAGTCAATACTAACTTAACACTTATTCTCTCATGTTATCACTTTCTTAAAATTTATTTTTTCTTTTTTTATCCAATTTTGGCCCATAACCACTTATTTTTTAAATGTTTTTAAAATTATGAAATATAACACACAAAGAAAAGTGCATGAAACACAAATGTTTAATACAATGAATAATTATAACAGTAAAGTCTCAGCACTCCAGACATCTTATGTGTATCATTTAACAAGCACAGCCTCCTTATTAAACTTTCATATTAATTCTAATTTTTTTGTGTATTGTTCTGAGTTTTCTACATACACAGTATTTACAAATAATGATGGTTTTATTTCTTCCTTTTCAAACCTTATGCTTTTATCTAAAAGAGAAAAAGTCTTGCTTGTTGGCATACACCTCTGATGCAATATTGAATACAAGTGTTTATAGTGGATATTCTCCTGATCTCAAAGGGAATTATTTCAACTTTTCACCTTGATATATAAGGTTTGTTGTAGTAATATGAAAAATAACATTTATATGATTGAGTAGTGTTTCTTCTCTTGCTAGTTTAATAAGATTTGTTTCATAAATTGCTACAGAGTTATACATGCTATTTCTGCTCTATTGAGATTATATGACTTTTCTCACTAATGTGTTAATTGATGTTATATTGATTTTACAATGTATATATTTTCCTTCTATCCCTGTTATAAATGCAACCTGTTTGTGATATATGATTATCATTTAGTATATGTTAGATCAGTTTTCCTATGTTTTATTTAGAATTTTTGCATCTATGTTCGTGAATGAGTTTAATTTAATGAATTACTTTAACTTTCAGTTGTACCACTATCCTTGTCAGTATTCTTATAAAGTTTATGCTAGCTTCATAAAATGAATAGAGGAGGATATGCTACTTTTCTATTTTCTGGAATAATTTTTGTTAAGATTAGAATTATTTCTTTCTTAGTGTTTGGTATCAGTTACCAATGAGATCATTCAGGCTAAGTGTGCCCTATTTGGGAAGATTTTTGATTACTGATATAATTAATTGGATATAAGACTACTCAGGTTTTCTATTTCTTCTTGGGTCATTATTGGTAAGTTATTCTTTTCCAGTAACAGCCCATTTTACTTTCACATTTAGTCAAAGTTGTTTATATTATCTTGCAATCTTTTAAATTTCTGTAGAATCTGAGGGAAGTCTCTGTTTCTTTATTCCTTATATGATTTTTATTCCTGATATAGTTTTATTCTCGATAGAGTTATTCATGGGTTTTTATGATTAACCTTATATAAAAGATTTATCAATATTGTTAGTCTATTCAAAGAACCAAGTTTTTGCATTTTTGTTCTTCCTATGTTTCTATGTTTTCTATTTCATTGACGTAATTTTCATCTATGTTTTCTATTTCCTTGATTTAATATTTTTTGTTGTTTTCCTTCTTCCACTTTATTTTGATTTATTTTGTTTGTCTTTATCTAACTTAAGGTTGATGTTTAGTTAATTAATCTTTAGCTTCTTTTAGAAAAATATTTATTTAAAGCTATAAACTTCTTTTGGAGTACCTCTTGCATTAGCTGCATTCTATAGTTTTGATACTCAGTTTTTCATTATCATTTGGTTTGAAATATTTCCCAATTTCTATTGTAATTTTTCCTTGACCTAGGTGTTAAATTTGGTGTTGTTTAATATGTTAAATTTGGTGTTGTTTAATGTTTGACCTAGGTGTTAAATTTAGGTGTTGTTTAATATGTTAAAATAAACCTATAATCACTAAGACGCTATGGTATAATGGAGGCCTTAATATAGGCATATACATAATTATAAAATTGAAAGAAAATAACTAATGCCATAACGAGAGTGTAGATTAATTTTTTTATTTTTCTTTATAGAGGTGAGGTCTTGCTATTTTGCCCAGGCTGGTCTTGAACTCCTGGCCTCAAGCAATCCTCCTGCCTTGGCCTCCCAAAGTGCTGGGTTTATAGGAGTGAGCCACAGCACTTCACCAGAAGTGTAGCTTAATTATGACCCTGGAATGCTAAGAGAGGCATTTCCATATGGACACATCCAATAAGACTTCATGGAGGTGCCACTGAATCCTAGTCATAGTCAAAAAGAGAACTCAGGGTGGAGGATATATTGTGAGGGAAAGGTACCACAGAGATTGAAAAGAGCAGGCTGTGCAGAGTAAATAGGCCTAATTCTGTTGGGCTAGAACACAGAGTGTGTGAGCAACAGCAAAAAGATGGAAAAAGGTTTTGGGAAAAGTAATTTGATACTACTGGAGAAGTAGGCCAAGGAATTGTGTTCTATTTTGCAGATAGTAGGAAGCCTTTGAAAGCTGTAAGTAGAGAAACAAAATAGCTATATTTTACACAGATTAATCTGACAGTGATGTGTAAGGTAGCTCAGTATAAATTTAGACCAATATCCTTCTTTTGCACCTCCTCATATAGCACTAATATAGCACTGTTTTTAATGCTAGTCTACAATGACAGTAATAGCCTGAGCCATAAGTGGGAGAGGAGGGGAAATGATGTTCACTGAGCATTGATTTTGAACCAAGCTCTGTACTGGACATTTCATTCTGTTTTGCAGATGAATGTTTATAATTTTTAGCACACAATCACAATAACTGTGTAACACTAATGATGAAAGTTTTAATGATGTTTGCTGTGCTAAATTTACTAAGGTTAAGTGTGGACTAAGAGGAATTAAGATATTTTTAAAAACAAGGGTTGAAATAAAGAGAACTTATGGAACAACAATACTCAGTAAGAAAGTTTAATTAACCAAATAACTTAAATTCAAATAATGCATCTTAAACATTTTTTGATTTATGTGTACTATAATAGTGTCTTACACACACACACACACACACACACACACACACTTTAACTTACCCAGAGACTCATGTTGGGGCTGAGCCTTCATGATGCTCTCCTGCTCTAACAGCTGTCTATTATCAGGGACTGAGAGTTTGAGATTATTCAAGTCAGAATGCTTCATATTGTTAGCATCACACTGACTAGGATCTGAAGGTTCTCGGTTGCTTTCATTATCTTGCACAGACATTGACAAATTCTGATCCACAAATAGTGTTCTGTCTTTGATTTTAATATCTATTCAGTGTAAGGAACATCCATGAGATACAATATGAGAAAAATTGACGATCATAAAATACAAGAATGCTTTCCATTCCCTCCATGCAGTGTACCTGCTTTCTGCTTGGCCTCTTGAGTATTCATTTTCATGACATATTGCTGCCTTATCTGTTTAGCAAATCTGGCAGGGTTGTCCCACGGTATGTTGAACATTTCAGAATCTGACCCACACATCATCCCAGAAGGTTTCAGTTTCCCTTTTTCATCAACCTCAGAGAGCTTCAGGCTCTCAAAAGTAAACACCTTGAAGGCTCGTTCTACTTCATTCCAGCTCAAGACATCTGTAAGAAAGCAGAACCAGTGCTGCTGGAAATGTTCTTATTAGCACATGGTACAGGGTTGACAGAGGGATAACCAGGGAGTCTGTCTACCAGAAAGACAAGAGAGTCACGCCACAATGGCTGTTGAGCTGATTTTAAACATTGGCTCCCCAGTCTGCCGCAAATATCAAAGGTACCTGAGGATAAGCAAACAACACAGTAAAGATAAAATTTAGCAAATTATAATGCTCCCAAACTGCTTCATAGCTCAATCAATATTAGGTGTCCAGATTCATTTGCATGGACTTTCCAGGGTACCATATTGGTTGAATATGCTTACACAACTTATTATTTTTGAGTGAAAGCACCCTTTTCTCCTGTTGTAATTTAAAACAGAGAAATTATTTACTTATGCCTAATATAGGCTATTATATTGACTGAGTTTTTCTATTGATTTGGGCTCAGGAAAGGCTTCCTCCTGTGCACATAAACTGCTGCAGTATTTTCCATAATTGCACTTCAAAGTTTATCAGCTTTCAGCAGGCTTTATAATTGTGTATTTACCTTTTTACAGCATTTATTCACTTGCTCACTCTTTCATTGGTTATTATTTTCTACGTATTAGGCTTTGTCACAGGTGCCTGGGATTTGAAAGAATCAAGATTTGGCTCTTACACTTTAGAAGTTCCAAGGTAGAGGAAGGAGAAGTAGAATTAACAAATAAACATGGAATTCAATCAGAAAAAAATAAAATGATGCAGATCAATAATTCAGAAGTAACCTCCATTTTCTCTCCAGCAAAGATGAGAAAAGCAGCAGGTCCTTTGGGAAAAAACAGGGAGATTCAGAAGAGAGACAAGGAAGAGGTAAAAGAGTTACAGAAGGAAGGAGAGATTGCTCATTTGTTCATTTCTCAAATATTTTTTGAGCCCCTATTAGGCATCATTAACTATAATGAAAGCTGGGAACACAATGGTGAACAAAATAGTGAGCTCCCTGCTCTCATGGAATATCCATTCTAGTCGTTGGAAACAGATAAATGTAAGAGATAAAAGAGATGACAAAAAGAATAAAGCCAGCTGAGGGGACAAAAAGTGATAATAGTCAGGGAGGGGCTTCTAGTTTATATAAAGCAGTCATGGAAAAGTCCTCTGAACAATTAAGCAAAAATGTGAAGGAAGTAGGGGAGCAAGCTGTATGGATATCTGGGGGAAAGTGACTGAGGAAGGGAAAACAGCAAATGCAACGATCCTGAGGCAGGGGTGTGACTTACATGTTCAAGGAATCACAGTGAGGCCAGTGTAGATGAGGGAGAATGGAACATGACAGCTTGATAGGTGATGGCTCAAAAAGTAGGTGGCAGACAGTTTAGGTTCTTATTGTTGCTTTTTGTTTTGTTTTGTTTTTTGAGACAGGTTCACCCAGGCTGGAGTGCAGGTGATTCTCCCACCTCAGCTTCCCAAGTAGCTGGGTCTGCAGGCACGTGCCACCACACCCGGCTAATTTTGTATTTTTTGTAGAGATGGGTTTTGCCATGTCGGCCAGGCTGGTCTCAAACTCCTGAGCTCAAGTGATCCACCCGTCTCGGCCTCCCAGAGTGCTGGAATTATAGTCATGAGCCAAGCACCTGGCCCAGTTTAGGATTTATTCTGGGTGACTGCTGCAGAGTTTTCAGTTACAAAGGCACATGATCCAACCAACATTTTAGAAGGGCCATTCAGGTGGTTGTGTGGAAAAAAGACTGTTGGTAAAAAATTGAAAGCCTGTAGACCAGCTGGAAAGCTATTGGAATAGTCCACTTGAGGGGTGGTGGGGGACTGGGCTGGGATGGTAGTGAGGAGTATGGTGGGATTGATTGCAGTGTGTGAGAAAACAGAGACAGCGGTGGGGCGCGGTGGCTCGCTCCTGTAATCCCAGCACTTTGGGAAACCGAGGTGGGTATATCACGAGGTCAGGAGTTCGAGACCAGCCTGACCAACATGGTGAAAGCCCATCTCTACTAAAAATACAAAAATTAGCTGCGCATGATGGCGTGCGCCTGTAATCCCAGCTACTTAGGAAGCTGAGGTGGGAGAATCGCTTGAACCCAGGAGGTGGAGGTTATATTGAGCTGAGATCACACCACTGCACTCCAGCCTGGCGACAGAGTGAGACTCTGTCTCAAAAAAACAAAAACAAAAACAGAGACAGCAGGGATGACTCCAAGGTTTTCGATAGAAAGTAGTTGTCATTCATTGAAATAAGGGAGATGGTGAAGGGACAAATTTAGGGATGAGGAATCAAGAGCTTGGTTTTGGACTTGTTAAGCATGATGTGGCAAAAGGGAAAAGAGGAAGAGGGGAGGAGCACCAAGGGTCCAGGATGGGGCATGTAAGCAGCATATGTGTGAGGTTTCAATGGTGGCAGCAGGAACAAAAATGCTGTGCTGCGTAGAGAGCTGAGCTGAAGGGAGAATGGAGTCACATCTTAAGCCAGAAGGAGAAGTGGAGGGTGGCAGGACACAGAAAAAGGACAGAAGTTCACCCCCTACTCAGGAAGGGGGTAGTTATGTGCACAACAGAAATGACATACCAGGCCCTCGAGGCTATACCCTGCATGTCCAGGAGTCAATGGTAGGACTCAGAAGTTCCTGGCTTTTTCTATTACTAAGCCTACTTAAAAGTGGAAAAAGAAATCAAGATAAAAATATTTTTTAGTTCGGTTAGGCTTACAAAGGAAATGGTAAGGAAGAATATGCACATGCTCTTTTCTTTTCTAGGTCAAATGCTTCCTTGTCAAGTAAAGATGTCTGTGGAAGTTAATGTCCTTTCTTATAGGTAGTATCTACATATTCCCTTAAGTGGGAATGAGAATTTGCTTTGGGAAATGACTGCCTATATCACAAAATCCCAGTGAACTCAGATGAGACGTGATTCTAGATATTGTATCTTAATGACCCCTCTTCCCACTGTCTTCAAAGAGCATAAAATGGCTCTTCCTGCTGTGAGAAGCTGTTAGCTTGAGTCAACTCCTGCTCAGCAACATGCTGACAGTGGGCTCTCTATTCATCTGTGTATCTCTAGGTGCAGAGCGGGTGCTTAAAATTGCAGATTGTACCATCAGACTTCTGAGGTGGCTTTCTTCCTGACTCCTGCTCAGTAATGTAAGGAAATTGTGTTCTACTGGGTATCCAGAGACCAGAATGTTTTCTTTTTTTTTCCACCACTGTTATAATCCTAAAACAAATAATTTAACCCTGCTAGGATCTCAGCTTTCTTATCTGAAAATAGATTTCGATTAGATTAATTCCAAGGTTTCTTTCAGTTAGGAAATTTTATGGTTCTATGATTCATCTTTCTAGATACAAATTTAATTTCTGGTTATAAATAGTGTGCTCAGAATTTTCTCTCAAGATAGGATTAAATATGAGCTTCCAGTAGCACTGGTTACAAGATATCTACATCTGCCTCCCAAGTCACACTCTTTCTTAGTTCCTTCCTGTCCTCATGTGCAGAGATGGTCCACGGTAGTGCTCACATTAGTTTTACCCTGGTGAACATTCCTGCCAAATTCAGATTATCTCGATCCTCTTCTTTTTTTTTCTTCTCTAATTAAAAAAAGAAAGAACTGTGAAAGGACAGAATGGAAAGAGACAGAAGAAAAATTCTTCTGGAACCTGTGTTTTATTGATTGTGGGTGGCTGCAACAAGAGGATATAAGATGAAAATTCAAAGACAGGTATCGCTGAATTGGAGCAAAGTTGCATGGTCCAGGTTGCTCTTCCCTCTTTCCAGATAATGTCTCTGCAATGTTACTGTAATTTTTACATGATTTGCAATGATGATAAAAGAGTGCAGTGGTCAGGCAGAAGACAGAAGGACAGCATTGTCCTGGAAATTATATGCGTGCATGCGTGCGTGCATACGCGTGCGCGCGCGCACACACACACACACACACACAGCCCTTTACTTCTCTGTAAGTAGGATGGGATTACCACATCATCTCCAATGACGTCAATGGGAGTATTTGGGACAGAGATGGGGGAAAACGAGGAAAAAAGGGAATTATTGTGGTTAAGAAAACACAACGGGAAAAAAACCCCAGTGTATCAAATTGAAGAGTGTTATGCATTATAGCTATGATAACATTGCTAATGACATTATTCAAACAAGAAAGTTGTAGTCAATCAAAATACCCACCTTAGCCTCTGAAAGGTCTTTCAATAATGAAAATACTTTTTGTAAATAAGGGTGTAATTTTAAGAGGCATATATGACCATTAATTAAATTGAGTTTAAGCTAAGACAAAGCAATGGACTCACCACTCGTACAAAAGTGCATAAGCTCATGAATTGTAGCTAGACGTTTAGTGTTGTTCCATGGTGGGGGTAGAGGGAATTGAAGAAATTCCCACAGTGGCAACTTGGACTGCATCTCCTGCTCAATTTGAACTGGATCAAAATTCTTTTGGTCCTGATGAAAAAGAGCAACATGACAGAAGACATTAGAGTAAGCTGTTAAGTGCCTTATGCATATGGAGAAGGCTAAACATGATACCTTCACCCTCATTATTTGGGAACAGGGGAAATCAATGGTAATTGGGAAAGACAAACTTTTGGGATTTTGCTGAAGGTCAAAAAGCTAGTTCCTATGTTGCCAGGATTTCCTGGTGCACAAAAATGACTGATTCTTCATTCACAGTGACAAACTGCCAAAGTCTCATATATATTCATCTCTCTCTTTTGAGATCCTTTTCTGGCTTCTACTAGTTTTTCATAGCAGCAGATATTTGAAGCAAATAATTATAAGGTTTTAATGAAAATTTAGTGGTGGTAACAATTAATTGAATTGTTAATTAGACCTCAATAATCAGGCAAATTTCCTCGGCTGACATCATTTTTCTCTGTATCTAGGTCCATTTTCCAGGTCCTACTTTGTATGCAAGTATCTATTTTGTACATTACATTTTAATTAGTGTTGATGAAGTTATCTAATTAGCTTCTTTCAACTGAATAGTTATAAACACACTTTCCCACATCGGTTTTCCTTGGGCTAACCTGATTATTATTACCTGTAGTGCGTACTTCTTGTGGGCGTGTGCATCATGATAGTTCAGTAGGAGGGGGCCTTTGGGCACTGCTTTGCTTTCATTTTCTTCTTCAGATAAAAATATGTCATGAAGATTCTATGCAAATTGAAACAATATTGATTTAAAGAGAGGATCTATACTTTTCCAAAGCATGAAGACTCTGCTATCTCAGGCTATCTGACCTTTTTCTCCCTCTCTGAGAGACAGAGTGAGGGCAGAAGGGACACAATGTGAGCTGCGATTCTGTGGTCTAGCCCGTCTGCTCTGGGGGATGGCTCCCGCAGACTGGGTGGGACGAGATCTTCTTCAGTTGCAACAACCTGTTGAAATCAACAATGAGAGGAATTGGTGTAAGGGTCCGCTCTTTAGTGATACTCACTGCTCATTGCTGCATTCCCACTGCTTAGTAAGAACCAGTCCATTTCTGGGACCCAAGTACCACTGATGACACAAAATGGCAGGAAACTATCAGTGATCACCAAGTAAAAGGAAAAGTGTTCGCAATCCATGCATTAAGGTAGATATAAATTTAATATTTCTATTAAAATAGATAACATGAAAATGGTAACAATAAGTTTTTGATAAAAATATTTCATGAAGATTCTAGTCAAATAGAATAATAACATTTTTTCTTAATATTTACTCTATCTTAAAGCAGTGGAAAGAGTGCTCATATAACTTTGGATTCATTAAATATTTATTAAGTGTCTATCACAAGCCAGGTACTATGTAACACATCTTCACATGTGATCATTTAAGCCTCACAGCAATCTTGTGGGGACAGATATTATTTTCCATTGTATAGAGGAGAAAACTAGGGTGACTGGCCAAAGCTCAAGGATATTGAGTGGAAGAAACTGGGGTTCAGGCCCAATCCTCATTCTTTCTTCAAAAATAGAAAAGTTATTAGATTATGAGATCAGTAAATGTAATAGTGTCTCCTTTAAGTGGGGAAAGTGAGGTCTAGAAAGATTAAGTGCCTTGTTCAATTTTTCATGGTAAACAAGTAAAAGAGGTTGAAACATAATCAAGTTAGGCACCTAATTTACAGCTTTTCCCTTTACCCTATATCCTATAATCATCCTCTATGATTTCCTATCCCTCTACAAGTTTCCTCAGCCTTGGCATTAATGACATTTTGGCCTAGATAATTACTTGTTGTGGGGGGTTGTCCTGTGCACTATAGGATGTTTAGCAATGTCCCTGGTGTCTACCCATTTTATGCAAGTAGCACCCTTCCAGTTGTGACAACCAAAAATATCTCCAGACATAGCCAAATGTCCTCTGGGAACAAAATCACTTCCTGTTGAGAACCACTGCTCTAGAATAACAAAATTGCATCCTATTCTTTACCTTGTAGAAACACCCTACTGTCAGAAGAGTCACTCACTGTTTCCACTTTCTATCCTCTGATCATTTCTTTGACCCACTTCAATCATAAAAGATCACTCAAATCTGTTTCTTCTCTGAAATGTCCAATTCTAACATCCCATCCTATAAAGTATCATCCCATCACTCCTATATTTCAGTTTTTTCATCCCCTTATTATTATTAAGCCTTCGTTCATTCAACATGGATCTACTGGTTGACTTCTATTTGTTAGGCGCCGAGCTCATTAACTGTCTTCTTTGGTACCTGGAACATAGTAGATGGTTAATAAATGTTTGTTGCTTTAAGTTTAGTAAAATAAAACAAGAAAGGATAAGATAAATAAAATAATGATACTGCAAGTTCTAGAGAGCTTTTGTACTTTTATCATTTATTGATATAATAAAACTATTGATCTTCTAAAAACTTCATGGAGCAATTAAAGGCAAATATTAGTGTGATTATCTAATTGGTTAGAAAACTAAGACAATCAAAAACCAGAAAAATGTATATGGGAGGTATCAGAGATGATAGAGTCTGAAAAGGACTTTAAAATAAACCTTTTATGTATTAACAGAAAAAATGTGTCACATCCATGCACTAAAAACAAGAATAGGCAATTGTAAAAAAAAAGTAGAGAATTTACAAATTAAAAACATTACTGCCAAAACAAAACTTCAATAGCAGACTGGACTCCCTGAAGAAAGCATTAGTAGGAAGTTAAGCTGGAATTCCCAAAGGGATAAAATTGAAAGAAAACTTAAAAGACAAAGAGAAAAACCCTGAAACTCCAACACCCATTCAATAATAATTAAGGTAAATCGATAGGAAAAATGATATTTGAAGATAGAAGACTTTCTTAGAATCTTCTGAATTTAACAAATATGTATTTAGTGTCTACTATGGGTTAGGTGTGGTTATTGTGTGCTGAGCATACAGCAACGAACAAGACTACATTGTTACTGCTTGCATGGAGTTTATATTCTAGTAGGAGGACGGGGAAGGGAAGAAAAAAATAGCTGATCAATATATTGCAAAAAGAAAAGCTGTTGATAAGAAAATAAAACAAGGTGATGTGGTAGAGAGTGCTGTGTGTTGTGTGGGGAGAGGGTTCTTTAGATCAGGTGGTCAGAGAAGGCCTCTCTAAGGATTGACACTTCTACTGGAGACCCTCCAGAAAGAGAGAAAGCTTTCTAGGCAGAGAAGGTAGAGTAAAAGGTTAAGATAGAATTAAGCAACATATTTGAGGAAAAACCAGAAGGCCTATGTAGATGACGTGTGTGTGTGTGTGTGTGTGTGGTGGCAGGTAGGAGGTGAGATGACAGGTACATCTCAGAACCCTATTTTTAGGGCCTTTATGGGACAGTGTAAGGAATTTTTATTTCACACAGAATGTGACTGGAAATCAGATGATAATTCCCTTACACCATAAGGACAAGTATGATAAAATCATACCTAGACATAGTCTTGTGTTATCAATTATAAAGAGAAAACCCTAACAGCTGCTAGAAAGAAAAGTAAAGATTATCTTCAAAGAAAAAAGTATCAGATTGACATCAGACTTCTTAACAGCAACATTAAAAGGAAGACGACAATGCAGAAATGGCATCCAAATACTTTTCTGTGCAGATTCACTAGGTTTTAAGTCATTTCTGCTACTTATTACTTGAACAAACTTGAAAAACTTTTTGTGCCTCAGTTTCCTTATCTGTAAGATGGGTGATACGGTTTGGCTCTGTATCTCCACCTAAATCTCATCTCAAACTGTAATCCCCACGTGTCGAGGGAGGGAGGTGATGGGAGAATGAGGGTGGTTTCCCCCATGCTGTTCTTATGATAATGATGGAATTCTCATGAGACTTGATGGTTTTAAAAGTGGTAGTTTGTTCCTGCTGTCTTGTGAAGAAGGTGCCTGCTTTCCCTTCTACTATGACTGTAAGTTTCCTGAGGTCTCTCCAGCCATGCGGAACTGTGAGTCAATTAAACCTCCTTTGTTTATAAATTACCCAGTCTGGGGTAGTATCTTTACAGCAGTGTGAAAATGGACTAATACAATGGGGGATAAAAACAGTTCCTACTTCATAGGATTGTTCTGAAGATTACATGAGTTAACATATTGAAAGCATTTAGAACAGTGCCTGGCGCCTGTAAGTGCTACATATGTGCTACTAGTATGAATCACAAACTCTTTCAGATACACATAGAACCTTCACAATGACCATGTTACATCAGGTCACACAGGAAGCCTCAGGAAATTTGAATTTGCTAACTTGCAGAAAATGCCTACTGATTATAATGTTAAAAAATTAGAAATCATCAGTAAATAATGGAAATCAAAATAATTCATGGGTTAAACATGTAAATAAATAAAAGATTTAGAATTGAATACACTGAAAGCATCAGGATGCAAACAAAGAAACACTCGAAAAGAAATGTATAGCCTTAAATAAAGCAAAAAGACTAAAAATAAATGAAGTAAGCTTTCAATTAAAATGAAATACAAAATAAATCCAAAGAAAGTAGAAAGATGGAAATGACAGAGATGAGCCAGACACGGTGGTTCATGATTATAATCCCAGTGCTTTAGGAGGCTTAGGTGGGAGGTTGGCTTGGGGCCACGAGTTAAAGACCATACTGGGCAACATAGCAAGGCCTTGTCTCTCCAAAAAAATTATTTTAAATTCGCTGGGCATGGTGGTGCATGCTTGTAGTTCTAGATACTCAGGAGGCTGAAGTGGGAGGAACACTGAGCCCATGAGTTTGAGATTGTGAACTATGATTGTGCTACTGCACTCCAGCCTAGGGGACAGAGAGAGACCCTGTCTTAAAAATAATTAAATAAATAACAAATATATAAATAAATAGATGAAGAAATTAATGAAGAGATTAATAAAATAAAAAGTAAAAAGGTGTTGATCAATGAAACCAAATCCTGGTTCTTTGAAAAGACCAATACAATAGCTATGCCCTTAACAATCATGATCAAGAAAAGGAAAGCACAAATAAATAACATCAGTCATGAGGAAAGGTACATGACCAGATACAGAGGAAATTTTAAAACATATTTAAGTGAATAGTGTAAAGCACATTGTATCAGATTTAAAACTCCAATAAAATACTTATTAAGACATATTCATTAAGAAAAAAGCTGATGACAAAAATTGGCCTCAGAAATACAAAAATCTAGTTAAATCTACAAGCATGAAAGAAATTTTAAAGATAAAGACTATTAACAACCTCACCCACTTGTCCATGTTCTCTTCCTTTTCCTCTTCCATTAAAATGACACCAGACACAGAGTATTGAGGATATGTTCTACCAAAACTTCAGGGAATGTTACATAAATGGCTTCAGAGCATAGCAAAAGAAAAGAGAATTGAAGCTGAAGATTTAAGCAGACTTTAGTTTCATCTGAACTATTCTAATCTTTATAAAGGAGAATGCACTTAGGTATTATGAGTATAATTTTAAAATAGTGTAAAAATAACAGAAGCCAGGAAAGATGAAACGACTTACTCAAGTATACAACCTGGGAAAAAGCCTCCCCACCTGTTCCAGCATACAATGCAGTATCAGGGGCACAGAAATGAATTCCTCTCGAATTGGATTCAGCAAATAATTGTAATATCTCATGTCTACTTCAGTTGTGATGACTGAAGTCACTGTAAAATATAGAAAATACCATTGCCCAATTAAGTTGTGTTCTCCATTATTTCCATCAAAATTTCATGCATAATTTCAAACTATGACTATGCACTAATAAATGCAGGAGCTGTAGGTGAAGGGAGGCTGAAAGTAATATGGAGGGCAGTCATTATCTCTTAAAGTGCCAGCTCATGGTGTTGATCCTCCAGCAGCCGATTTCATACATGCCTGGTGGTGGAGCTTGCGGTTCTTCATACTGTGCTTTCTTCTTTCCAGGAGCTGGTACAGCAGGTTGTGGAGCCTAGAAAAAGAATAATTAAAAAGAAACAACTGAGATACCCAGCTGAGAGATGCCCTCATCAAATGCTGGTATGATGAGATCCAACAGGATACTCAGGTTGTATAATTATGTTCACACCACAAAATCATCTGCTAATATTAGAACCAAAGGAAAAGAGTTTTGCTTGATGAAGGAAAGAAGGTAATGGTATAGACATTATTCAGTTTTTCCTACCAGAACCCACTGAGCAATTGTGGAGAAAGTGATGGGGTGATGGGGCACTGAGCATCAAACAGGTTTTTCTTTTTTCCCCTGGGTGACTCAGAGTCATCCCATTCTCCCTCTCCCAATCCTTCAGCAGTTCTCCATTGCCTACATGATATAAACCAGACTCTCAACTTAGCACCAAAGGAGATTCATGACCTGGCTCCTGCCTCTCCAGGTTTAGTTTCTGTTGTTGTTCTTCACTTTGCACATGCAGCCTGGGATCACTGAACTACCCTGTGCTCCTGGCTTGTGCCATAATACTGCTTTTCCTTGACCTCCATATCTTTGTACATCTTTGCCCCTGTCTTGAGAATATCATTATATCCCTTTCCCCTATCATGCTTTCCATTAGGCACTTCATACTCATCTTTCCCCACATCGCTAATCCTGGTTCAGTTTTCCTGACTTCCCTCTCTTTGCTCTACTCCTGTTTAGATCAGGTGACCAAGTTTATTTCTTCTACTGCAAGCTGAGATGACTGCTCTCAGCATTCATCATGCTACGTTGAAATCATTGTTGACTTGACTGCCATCCTCTTTAAAAGTTAACCTCAATGAGGAGGACAGGGAATGAGTTTTCATTATTGTATTGCCAGCATCTTGCACAGCTCTAGCACATAGCCAGGTGCTAAATAAATACTGCAATTACTTTGTCAATATCTTTCCTGTCACAGATGTTATTCATTGTACCAAGTGCTGACAAGAAGGTTCCATCCTTGCCTTTGTAAATGTCTGGTAGTTGAGGAGCTTCACAAAGCCCCCATCATGTAGCTATCTTTTATGCCAGTAGGCAGTATGACCTTAATGTAAGTATTTATGTAACTTTTTCTTCATATGCCTTATAAATATGAAAATAAAGTTGTTCAGTGAATCATTCATCCCACTAAAGACATTGAGCCCATGCCTACCTCTGAAGTTGGCATGGCTTCTAATACAGGTTTCTCATTAACCACTTGTGGAACATTAATAAGCTGCATGCTTTCCAAATAGTGCTGGTGCTGCCTTTTCCAATCCAGGATGTCATACATCAAGCAGGCAATATTTTCAAAAATATCAGTGCCCAATTTCAGCTACAAGTGAGAGATTTAATGGCAATTGGTTACTAGTTTTACACTGTTGGAATCAGATATATGGTATATATCTCTTAACAGTTATGCCCATCAACTTTATACAGGAAAGCAAACCCCTAAATCTCCAAACCACTGAATCCCAACCATGGTGACCCCATTTATATTCCTGAACCTTTCTTCTTCTTCTTTGTTTACCGCAATATGGACTGTTTCCTTTGGAGGGCCGTATGGCTGCCTAATGTTTTAAGAGCCTAATTAATGCTTCAACTAAAAGAAATATAACTGAGTCATGAGTTTCAGCAGTGTGGCCTGTATTCTTAGTATCTCAAATCCTAAACACGTTAGGTAACTTTAATATCCTCAGCCAGTGACAAGCTATAGATGATTTCTTACCTGGCTATGCAAGGAACACAATGGAAACACTGACTCTGCTTTGTGGATCATCTACCCAAGTACGTTGCATCTACACAAGTATGTGGGCAATCAGTATTTCTTCTTTTCCTCCAAGCTCCACTTCTTTCCTTTCACCTGTTCTACCTCTACAGCAAAACACTAAGAAATCCTAATAGACTATTGCTTCTATAATACCCACAAGTTTTATGAGCTGACAAGCAAATTGTAGCTCAGATACCTCTATTACTTGGGCTTTTGTTTCCAGAAGTAGGAAAGCATTGTGATGGCTGGGTCTGTCTGCCTGGAAGCAAAGAAGAATGAAATAGGCTCATCCTATGTCTGAGTTCAAGAAGTAAGGTGGTATGAGATGGTTCCTTGTATGCAGAAGTCCAGTGACGTGCACAGCTCTGCCAATCACTATGGTGCACCTGGTTGCTGGCTGGCTTCCCATTCCCACTAAGACCAAGGCTTCTTCAGTCAAGCTTCAATCTGGTATTGCTTGCCCAAATTCTGGCATAGAAATATGTTTTTGTTTTTGTTTTTATTTCTAGGAAATAGAGAAAGCTTTTGCCCAATGATCCCTTAGCTTAACCTAGTTAATTCATTTTAAAATGAAACAGCAAATCACATGCTAAGGACAACAAATTATTTCAGCAACCAGGGTCTTAACTTGAAATGTTGCCAATGTCTTCCAGGGACAGTTATCATGCATTGAAGGGCATTTATTTGATGTAAAGCTTTTGTTACCTTGGTTCAACAGAAATATAGCCTGCTTGTTTGCAGCCAAAGGTTGGAAAGGTTGCAAATGCTTTCCGCCAATCAAAGGGGAAGAGGGCTCCTTGGATGGATCCTATCTTGGATATGAAGCCATTATCAATTTACAGATATAGCTTAAAGTGTGACACTATGCATTTGATCTGCTTCTACTAGGGGTAGATTATAATTTTTATGCTTATTAAATGATCTTGTTTAAAATGAACTGTGATCTTACCTATTAAATTCAATGGCCTTTTCTTCTAGAATCCAATTTAATGACTGAACCATTTTCAAGACTTTCCCTCCCCATCATCCTCAATGCTGAGTGCTTCACTCACAAACCATATCTTACAGAAGCATGCATGGGCTTTAAAAGATTACTACAGTTGGACCCAGACCACAGCCCTGGTATAAGATGACATTCAGTAAATACCTGCAAATTGACTAATAGATCAGTCTGGGAAGCTGGGCAACACAGACCTAATTGGCTCTGTAGAGACCTGAATGTTTTCATTGTTGACAGTTACCTTCATGGCCCAACTAGAGACCCTTTACATTAATGTTTCAATTCTGAAGTCAGGAATGTTCTACCATAACTAGACTGGTAATATTTTTCCACATAAAATAATTTTTCTGAACTTTAATTGCCATTTAAACTGTTCCATTCTGTATTTTTAAAAGTAAAATATAGCCACTACCACTTTCTTTAAAAGGAAGTGATTAAAATGTGGACACTGCAGTGAGAAGCAGAGTGCTAGAAATGGTGCTCGGTCCTTTGAAGTTGCCATTGTATACCACAGTGTTCACATCTATGTTCTGATGATGCAATGGACTGTACACGATTTTAGACTCTGCATTTCAGCTTTATGCAGCCTGTGCCTGGAAAGTAAAGAAGACACACAGTAGGGAGCCCTAGCTAGAGATGGAGCAAAAGGTACTTGGCTTGAGGCTGACTTAGAAGCAGCCTCCTCTGAATGAATTATGGTTCAGGGATTATAAGGCTGGGATCTCCTGTGTCTTGTTGAACAAAAAATATACACAAGTTCCTGATAGGGTATGTAGCCAGGCCTTGGCCCAAATGAGAGGAGCAGTGTTTCTCCAAAATTTAAATTTGTGGATGTGGGTTTTATTAACCAGAGATTTTACATGCTTGGGAGAACAGCTGGTCTGTGGAAGAGAGAGTAAGAAGCTGGATTTGAGGTGGGATTTCAGGATCCCAAGGAAATAGCCTCTTCCCCCTAAATATGTCACTTTTTTTAGTATAATCTAGAGTTTCAAGAAAATAGGGTGGAATGTTCATATGTTACTTGGAATGCCAATATCTCCAGGATAGGGAAACATACTGACCCAAGGCAACATGAAATAGTGAAGGACAGAGGACAGTGGGTCCTTCTCTGAGGTCAGGTTTAGGAGGCAGGAGAGTGGAAGACAAAGCAGGAAAGCTGAACACATCTAGATGAAGGGGTGGGGAGGGGCAAGGACAAAGGGAGTTTGGAGTCTCTAGTCTTTCCCAGAACCAGCTCTGCCTTCTATCACAGCTTTTCTACATTCAGCTTCATTTTCCACGCAGAGAACAAGGCTGAGATTCACCAGGATATCAGACTTAAGTGTGGTGTTTCTACATAGTGACATCTAATGCCTTGTGCTGAGAGTCTTTATAACTCAAACTGATCTCTCCATTACTACTTATTCAAGTCCTGTCCATCCTTCAGGGTTCAAGTCTGGCCACCCTCTTCAGCGTTTTCACTTACTTCATTAAGTGCATATCCATCTCAAGGTAATAGAACCAGGGACACTCAGAGTCAGAAGTGTCCATGCCCCATAGCCTACCCTCAGCTGTAGAAACAGTTCCAGGCTTTGATCTCACTCTTCTTTTAGACAGTCGGCTTTTTTTTTTTTCTTGTCAGCTACCCACAGTCACTGTGCAGACACCCATCCACCCTCCACACTCCACTTTGCCCAGCCTTTTTCAGAGCACTCACTTGATATGGTCCTTCCCTAGGACTTTGCTTTCATTTCAGCTCCCTTAACGCTGAAATATATCGTCCTGCAGGGTATTCAACACTCCGAGGCCCCTGTTAGTTGGGATAAGGGTCAACTAGAAAGAGACCTGAGAGATTTTCTGTAGCAGAGGGATGCCTGAATACTTTCCACAACATCTTCGATAAGTAGTCATTTGACCTTCCGTTTTGTTAAAAAGCCATCATGCATCTGTCATTCACTACTTTTCCAATCATTCCATTTTTTCTTTGTCTGAATTAGTAGGAAACTTAGAGTATGTTTCACATAACTGAGCACCAGATATGTGGGTCCTTGACCACTGCTTCTCTGTTTCACGGTTTTAGTCTTGCCTCTCTGCAAACTCCTCAATAGCAGGGGCCAGTAAACCCCACTCTTGGGAAATGCCTGATAACTACAGGGCCAAAGTCAAGTCATCCTATTAGGATAGACCTTCTTGGCCAAATATATTAAAAATAAGATTTTGGGGCCAGGCATGGTGGCTCACGCCTGTAATCCTAGCACTTCGGGAGGCCAAGGCAGGTGGATCACCTGAGGTCAGGAGTTCGAGACCAGCCTGGCCAACATGGCGAAACCCCATCTCTACTAAAAATACAAAAATTAGCTGGGCATGGTGGCACGTGCCTGTAGTCCCAGCTACATGGGAGGCTGAGGCAAGAGAATCACCTGAACTCAGGAGGCGGAGGTTGCAGTGAGATCACACCACTGCACTTCAGCCTGGGCAACAGAGCAAGACTGTCTCAAAAAAAAAAAAAGGGGGGAATAAAAGCAAGGGCTTAGAAAAGCAATGTATGAACTGAAACATAAAAAGTCAGACATGTAATTTAACAAACTATGAAATTTACTATTTTAAAATTAATACATATGAAGATTCTAATTACTGTCTAGAACATTGTTGAGTTTTAAAACAAAGCCACGTGTCACCATATAAAAGAATCACCATCCTTTTGATCCTCATCTACTACATCTTATTATTTGTTGTTAATTCACACACTAAAAGCTAATGAATCAGACTATAACTATCATTGAGCATTCCATATTATCATTATCCTGAAGATAAAAGAGCCTAGCTCAATGCCTTGTAATCAGCGCTCAGTAACTATCTATGTGATGAATAAATGGAGCAAATAGAACCACTGTGTCACATGTTAAAACCATGCACTCTCAGTAATGTGTGTACTAACCATCATCTCACCATCTGACCAGTCAGAAGGAAAATCAGCTGCTTTGACCATGTACTCAAGTCGAGCAACATCAAAGAGATTTGTTTCAGGTTTCTCATTATTCAGGACTGGTTCCAAGTACTTCCAGAAAGTTTTAAGCTCTTTTATGGCATTTTCTTTCTTCAATTTTTCTGCTTCTAGATCTAATAATAGCAACATGTTTATATTACCAAATGAGAGTGTTAAATGTTTTCCCACTTTAAGTGAACATGGTGAGTCATATGCATTGCAAGATATCTGTACAGTACCAGAAAATGTAAATAAAGGAATGTAATTTTGATAAATTTTTGAAGTCGGAGTATACAATTGTGAAATCAGAGAACTTTATTTCTGAGATTCATTTTAAATATGAACTTATCTCATGCCTTCATTTTATAGTTGAGGCCCAGGAAGATTATGACTACGTCACACATTTTGGGAGCTAAATATGTTCAAGATTTCCATCACTCTTAGATGACAATCTACATAGGACCAGTTTTTCTGCCATATCACTTTTTAAATCAACTTAGTGTCTGCTACATAACTGATTACAAATGCAGTTTATCTGGTTCTCCTTCTTATATTGCTGAAAACAGAGTGGATCAATGTTGTATGTTTCAGTTACCTTTTGGTCACATTAAATAGCAATAGGCTTCTCTGGGTATTTGTACTTTTACTGTAAAATAATGACAGATTTCCATAAAATTATGCTTAAAAATTTGCCCGAAATATTTATGCTTATTACATCTATAATTAAATAGTAGTTTCTACTACTAAGATCTCATTATTCTATTATAAAGTCTATTTTTTAATATTTTATTTTTATATATTAAATATTTTTACAGAGAGACTGTGTTTGGAGCTTATGCAGCATTTTCTCACTTCAATAATAAACCATTTAGTATTATAACTATCCTTTGAGATCATCAGGAATAGCCTAGGTTTGAACCTCAACTTTTTAACTTAATAGCTGCCTCTAGACTGAGAGTCCATTTTTGTAAAATGGAAACAATAAAACATACTTCCTAGGCTTGTTGTGAAAACCACATGAATCAATGTACTTAATGTCCTTAGCATTGAGCCTAGTCCCAAGACATGTGCCCAATATATGAGACCTATTAGTATTATCAAGGGTAGCTATTTCTAACTTTATAGAGCAGCAATTTAAAAATGTAGTGTTATAAAAATTGGGATGTGGCTGCATAAGATACAAAACACTGTGCAAATGATATTATTAATAAATAACAATAAAAGCAACAGCATATGGCAGAAAAAACTTGGGCATCTGGTAACACAATCTTACACCAAATTCTAGTTCTATTTCCTAAAGTATACAGTGGCTTTTTGCTTCCCTTCAACAGAAGTCATCTAGGATAATCTTCTTAGATGAAGACCTCAAGGCTCAAAATGGCTAAATGGTAGCATGATTGGAACTTCATCCCACAACTTGCTAGTCTAAGGCTAGGAAGATAGCACCCCAGTGATTTCTCATAATAAGACAATAGCAGAACAGGGCAAGAATCTAAGGCTGTGACCTCCCTTGGGCTACTTGAACTGTGACTTCTGCAAGAACAGATTATTAACAGTGATTCATCCAGCGCATCCTTTAGGTAAAACTTATAGATCAAATACTCCAGAAAAGGCAGTTGGATAACCAAGTCTTCTGAACTGCAGTCTGTTTTCTGTGGCTATAAATACAGGGTATGATACAGGGGATATAAATACAGGGTATGATTTTAATTTGCAAAATTTACAACACTTGGCTGGTGCAAGCAGAGTAAATGGCAAATCAAAGTCTTGAAAAGATTTAATAATGTACTAATTGTAAGACTATGTTTTGGACAGAAAATTATATTTGTACTTTAAGGACAGTGGGTAATATTGAAGGACTCAGTAAGTTGTGTAGCAGACTGCATACCTTCTGACTGAAGAAGAACTTCCTGCTGCTGGTTAACTGCTGCCAGGTGTGTCTGCAGAGGTTCATAATTCTCTGAAGATATTTTAATCACGCTGGTTATAGGAATGCCAAGCTCAGCCATAATTGCTAATAGCTGAGGATTGTTAAAGCCCACAACTATAATGTAATGTTGGGCACCATCATCTGGCTCATCGTCTGTTCAAAATACCATAAAGAAGAGCAGCCATCATTGTAAAAGAGAGCAGGTTGCACTCAGCCAGTTCAATGGCTATATACATTATGCATGCATTTATAATCCCTCTGGCTTGCCAAAAATGATCCAGTTGGCTGGAATGCAGTCATGTTGACTGTTTTTCATTATTGCCCTTCCAGTAAGACGGCTGTGACTATTTTACAAAATATTAAATCACTTTTGCAAATGCGACATAGGCGTAATAGAAGGACAAACCTATATGGGGCTTGTGGTCATATAAAATGTGTGCTTGGGTTTTTGTTAAGAGTTTAGCCTGTAACTTTTTTGGGTTCTAATCTCTTTTGAGCAACATCTGGCTTTACTCCTGAATTAGAAATAGCTACAGCTTTGTGGTATTTTATAAGTAGAGGTGTTTACAGGAGAGGGAAATAATGAATATGGACATGCTCCCTTAAAAAGTGTTGTATGCACTTATGTCAATGGGTGTGAATCCCGAGTATGGATTATGTAGTAACTATGTATTTATTGCATTAAAAATTTAAAATACATAGTGTGCACTTACTTTCCTAACATTTTTCTCCTTTATTTGGCCCTGGTTATACTATTTTATTAATATTAAGACATGATCTTATTTTAGAATGTGACATTCTGCAGGGTAAGAATAATTGTTATACTTTAATACTGATAGCACATGGTACAAAAAAGCACTACATTTCACAAAAGCCCATTAAGATCAATATATAAATAGTGCAACAGAGGCACAACTTTTCATTTTTAAGTTATGACTTTTCTTCTATCACTAAACTAATCAATGTTGATATTGCCCATGGACTTCATAATATCACTTCTTCCAAGTCTACTGGATTTAGAGCAGAGATGCATGAGGGGAGTCAACTGGTAAAGGATGGGAAAGCCCTCTGCTATCTCATTTAAATATGCAGATAACAACAGGTAGCTCATTTGCATTCAAGGGAAGGCAGGAATGAATTACTTACAGCTGCCTAGGATGAATCATTTTTATATTAAGAAACTAAAATGAAAGAAAAATTCTAGTGTCTCTATCCAGGGCAAAATGATTGTGGGGGAGTTGGGGTAGGAAACTATGTGCTCTATGTGAGTCACCAAATTAACTGATCTGATTTTATTACCACTGTGTTTCACTCATGACCATAATCACTTTTTATTTTGCTTTATAATTATGTCTGACTTTCCTATATGTGCCCAACAAGATAGTAAGCTCCTTGGCAGCACAGTCAACTGGCTATCTCAGCCTTTATTTGCACTGTGTAAATGTGCCTAGCAAGACACATGCTTAATAAATATTTGTTTAAGAGAGCCAGGTGTAGTGGCTCATGCCTGTAATCTCAGCACTGTGGGAGGCTGAGGAGGGAGAGTCACTTGAGCCCAGGTGTTCAAGGCCACTCTTGGCAACATAGAGAGATCCTGTCTCTACAAAATAAATTAATAAGTAAATAAGTTGGGCATGGTCATGTTCCTGTATTCCCAGCTACTGGGGAGGCTGAGGTGGAAGGATGGCTTGAGCCTGGGATTTTGAAGCTGTAGTATAAGCCATGATTGTGCCACTGCACTCTAGCCTGGGTGACAGAGGAAGACCCTGTCTCAAGAAAAATTTGCTTGCAGACACAAATGAATTGCAAATAGAAGTCTTTTTCTCTCAGGGTGTCATGGGAGTAAGTGATTTATGTTTCTAATGAGTGAAAAGGCTGGGAAAGACTAAGCATAGTTATTGGGATGACTGCTCCAATCGCATCACAGTTCATGAGGCAGGAAAATTCTAGTGTCTCTAGGGCAAAATGATTGTGGGGGAATTGGCGTCAGGAAACTATGCGCTCTATGTGAGTCACCAAATTAACTGGTCTCATTTTATTGCCACTGTGTTTCACTCGTGAAAGGCACCGCCGGCAGCAGCACCTTACTGACCAATGTAACGATTGGTGTGGTCGTCTTCTCCTCTCCGCTTTAACTGGGTGGTCTTTTTCACTGGTGCATTTGCCTCAGGCTGATCCTTTCCCTTTCCTTTGGCAGGCTTGGCACTTGGAGCCTTTTTCTCCTTGGGAGATTTTGCTTTCCCTTTATCCTTTTCTAACTTAGGTTTGTCTTCTATTACCTGGAATGAGAGAACACTTTTTTCTCCAAATCAAACAGTGAGCAAGCAATGGCTTTTCTACTGCCAGGTGAATTAATTCTTCATCTCATTCAATCACTTGTATACTCTTTATTTTTTAGGTATTCATTATATAAGTCAGCATAGTGGAGATTCCAGCTTGAGACTAAGTTGTGACAAGGCACATTTATGCATGAGGACTGGAGGAGTGGGTGCCAGAAAGCTGGTTACACAGAGACTTCTGGAAGAGAATCAGTCCTATGGGAGAGCCAAGTGTGGCCTAAGAAGCCACCCCAGTGGTTTGAAGGCAGGGCGGGAAGATAATTCTGAGTACATAATGGTGTCAGGAATTTAGGTTTATCTTTTAGTCTAGCCCTGGGGAGCCTCTGTCTGAGTCTCAGAGAGAGGTGGGGTTGGTTATTAAAAACAAAACAAGAATTAAAAATAAAAAGGAAAATAGATGTTTTGCTAAAATCTCCTTGATAAAGCATTTCATAGTACAAGTAATGTATTGACCAATTTTTAAATAAAGATTAAAAGATTATTTGGGGAACTTAGCATTAACTAAGTATTTTTATTATAATCCTACTGAAGAATGTGCAGACATAACCAATGGTTGCTATTTGATGCCTTCAAAGATGGGGTCAGAATAAAACATCAGTTGGCAAGATGAATTCCTTCCATGATGCTCTGGGGCATGCTTAGATTGGCATGTACCATGTAAACATTAATTCCGCCCCAACACCCCGCTTTTCTTTCTTTCCCAACAGTTGCCAAAAATGTTGTGCAGTACTTCATAATGTAATTACACTTTCAGTTCATGTGTTTATTAATACAAATTAGTTGTACTCACTGAAATGTTGTGGCAGTACTGAGAAGATATGTTGCTTTGACATCCAGCTAACAGAATGTAACGCAGAAGGGGAGAGGAGCACTTCCCCTACACTACTCCATGTGGCTTCTGGATGTTAAGGGCTCTTAGCTTTGGCACCCAGAGGGGCCCATGGCTTCTAGCACCTATGGCTCTAGTGGTGATGAAACTGCCACCCTTTGTACCTGCTCCTCAGCAGAAGGGGACATCATCAGCAGGGGCTTCAAGTGTCACTCACAGCCTGGGGTGGAGGCAGGTACAGACTATGAAATGGCCTCACCCATTTCTAGAAAGTGAAGAAAAATCCAACTGGCTAGAGCATATGTAAATGGTAAAATTAACTCCTTTGAAGAGCTAGGGGCGAAGAAGAAAATACATCCCTGGAGTGGAAGTGGAGGTCCAGGGAAACCGCTCCATGCCAGACAGAAAAAGGGGATTGGAAGGAAAAGAGGGCATTGCCAAAGTCAAGCTTGCCAGGCTTTACACACATCTCCCTTAGTCGATCCCCAATGACACAAATGCGGTAATCTTAACAATAGAATTTCAATGAGAATGGAAGTTCTGAAAATGTATGGGATGCTGGTATTCATCTATTCATTCATTCATTCAGTGAATATTTTTATGAGCTTCAGTTTCTGTCCCAGCCTTCCTCAGCAGCAGAGGGAAACATCAGTAAAGGCTGCAGGTATCACTCACAAACACTGGGTAGAGGCAGCAACGAGAGCACAGGTAAGGTACAGAAGAGTGAAAGGGTCCTAGCATTTCTCTCTGCACCAGGTATAAATTGGTGCCTAAAATGGGGCTCGGCTCTGCCCCTTGAGCTCACAGCCTATGGGGAAAGAAAGAGAAAAAGAAATACAAACAAACAGATAAAAATGTAACTATAAATTTTCGTGACTGCTATGAAGAATAAAACCCAGTGTCGTTATAGAAACACAATTGAGAACACTTTCATAAGTAGGTGATGAAGGACTCTCTGTGGAAGTGACATTTGAGCGAAGATCTCAAAGGCAAGAGTCATACACATGAGAAGCAGGGAAAATGTAGTGTGTGTGTGTGTGTGTGTGTGTGTGTGTGAAGATCCTAAGGCATAAGAGGCTGCGTGTGTTCCAAGAACTGAAAGGAGATGAGCCCAGCAGGGAAATTAGCAGTGGAGGTGCAGAGTAGCCCAAGATGAGGTGTGTGAGGCACAGCATGGGCCAGGCCATCCAGGGCTTTGGAGGTAGAAATAACAAGTTTATGTCTTAACTAAAATGCAATGGGAAGATTTTAAAGGGTTTTAAGTAGAGGAGCTCTATGATTTTGCAAGATTGGAAACCAGAAGACTAGTAAGGAAACTCTCGCAATAGTCCAGAGAAAACCCAATAGTGACTTAGATTAAAGTGTTGGCAGAGTGAAGAAAGATAGATTTGAGATGTATCTTGGATATTGAAACTTCATGGGTTGAAAGATTAGATATGAAGTCTGAATAAGAAGGTACATTAAGATAGTGCTGTGGATTTTAGTTTGAGCAACTGGGTGGTTGATGGTGTCACAGAGATAGAGAAGACTGGGTGATAAATGAGTTTTACTTAAGGTGGACAGAATATTAACAGTGTTATGTCAACTTTGAGATGCCTCTTGAGAGGTCAAGAAGGTAGTTCAATACACACATTCTCTCCCTAGAAGAGAAATTTGGCTAGAGTTACAAATGCAGGTGTGCATAACATACAAATAGTAGATAATCGCATGGGAAGAGATGAATCACCATGGGTGAAGTTTCTTGAGAAATATGAGAATTGAGTCCGAGATCATGCTAGAGACTCCAATGCTTACCAATGGGTATAGGGAGAGATGCCAGCAGAAAGAGACAGCGAAGTGGATAAAAAGATAGGGAAAAATATATAGTGTGAAGCTAGAGAACTAAGAAACCAAAAAGGTCAAAAAGACAAGAATTGGCAGTTGTAGGTAACATGAAGAAGAGCAATTATGGTGGAGTGTGGAGGTGGAAAATAGGAGGGCAGTATCAATAGAGAAACCACTTTTATGGACAACTGTTTCTGGAAGTTTGGTTGTGAAGCAGAACCAGAGCTCTGAGTTGTTCAGTGGGTGAGTGGATGCAAGGGGGTATGAGGTCAAGGTATGTATATATGTAAAGTCAAGAGATGTTATGCTTGCAGGCTGATGGAATGATCCAGTAGAGAAGGAGACAGTGAAGATACGGGGCTGAGGAGACTGAAGTTCTCTAGAAGTCAACATGGGATAAGAACAAAAGAATGTGCCAATGACTGGACCTTGATAGAAGGAGAGGGAATTTCTTAGTTTCATAACTAAGAACAACAGGAAGAGGCTGGGTGCCAGAAACAGAGACATCTTGATGGTGTTGAGAAAATGTTTCAATTTTTTCAAGTGAAGCATGAGGCAAAGTCATCAACTGAGAAAAGGCAGGAAAGAGGCAGGAGGTTTGAATAGGGAAGATGACGTAAGAGTTATCTTATGTCAGAGAGTGGGGGAGCAAGCTTACCGAGGTAATATGGTAGGACTCTGCCAGTGGTGAGAACTTATTGAAAATGTTGAGATTGTTAATTTTACATGAAATCAGTCTGTTTAATTGTGTGAATTCCTCCATTTATGTTTAGCTGCTCAGGAATAGAAATGAAAATGATGGATCACTGAGTTCATCCTGGGAGGGGTTTTGCGAAATGATTGTGATGGAAGGAGAGAAGAGCAAGGGGAATCAAGAGTAAGCAGAGAAACGATAATACTGATTGGATCATGGAACCTAAGCCAAACAAATAGCAGGAGAGGACAATGAATAGAAAGTGTTGGGATTTATGGACTGGGATTTATAATGTGGTTGAAGAAATTATGTAGGAGGATATTGGATTATGAGTAAGAGACAAGGATAGGAAATTTCCAAGGTTAGAGAACAGGACATCTCAAGACTTTGGAGGTGATGAGGGCTTCAGTGATGACAAGGTTCAAGGGAGGCAATGGCTGAGGTGGAGTGGAGGAAATAATCATTAGAGAACTAAGAGGCCAGTAAGAAGAGCATTACTCAGTAATAAAAAACATCAAAAAAGAAAAAAAAAGAAGAATCAGAGAAATCAGAGAGGCAGAGAATAACAGTGTTAATTCCAAATTGTCCAGGGCAGAGATTTCCTGATAGACAGATAGGAGGGTCTGGGTAACCTGGGAGTTACAGCCATGTGGTCAGGGGGCTGCATCAGGCCATCAGGACTGTAAACCTTTAAACTAACTCCCTAGTTAAGACTTGAGGTACTACATAAGTTTCTGACAGTTTGCCTTCCTATGTACAATTTGTCTACAGGGAGAAAACTTTCAGTTAATGCTGATGGGTCTGTCCCACAAAACTGACAGTAATATTTACTGTAGTAAATTAGCAAGGGGCTATTCTAATCATGGCTGTCATTGTCACTATTATTATCATCCTTATCATTATCAATATTACATTTCTATTTATTACATTCTTACTATAGTCCAAATATTCTATCTCGTCAAGTCTTCACAATAACTACAATAGGTAGAGCACCATCTTCATTTTACGGAGGAGAAAACTGAGTCTTAGTGAGGGCAAGTAGTTGTTCAAACTCAAAGCTAATATGTGGCAAAGCCAGGCCAGTCACCCATGCTCTTTTTTAATGGGTTTGTAAGGCACAAGTCAGTGCCCCTGAGTGCAGTTGGCCTGGAAGCACTGGTAAGACTCATGCAGGGCTCTCTAACAGCCAAGCTTTGGATCATAGCAAATTTACTAATTTGCAACACCCTGTGCAACATGTTGGTAGACAGCTGGCCTTGCTACAGAAAAGTTCCAATGTAGCCATCAAAAACATACCAGAAACTTTTACAACTGCAATTTTAAATAAAATCTCAGGGTGATCTTTTGATCTAAAAAGATGAAACCATTTTAGATTAAATTATTTTAAAGTTTACCTGGAAGAATAAACATTAATTCATTTATGCATTCATTCATTCATTTCATCATTTCACAGATACTCCTCCCCATCATGTGTTAGACAGTAAGAGGCCCTCTGGCCCTCCAGGTTCTCCTAGGTAGGGTGTGAGAGCCTGTGCAGCCACATAAGTCTCATCCCTTTGAAGCCATTTTAGCAAAGACTGGAGTTCTAGAAGCTCAGGAACTCTCTGGCCCTTTCTTCTATTTGGTTCTTGGGATTCTGGGATTCTGCAGAAAGGAGGGCGGACTACAACCAAACATTCAAAGGAAGTGCTAAATTCTAGTAGCAGAGTATAGTTTCCAGACATCATCATCTTTAATTTGATCTCACAAGGCAACCTGTAAGATGGGTAATTTTATCCCCATTTTATAAATTAATACAGAGTTTGTCCGAAGACACACAACTGTGGTAGAGAGTGCTGGTCTGACTTCAAACCCTAAACTCATTTTATTTCCATGATACTCTTGTCTGTCTTTGATGCTCTCCTGATTTCTCCATACCTGTCTGCCTCCCTCTACTCTGTCTTCCCAGGGGCTGAATCACACTTGCTTGATGCCCTTTTCTTTCTCCAGAGCACTCCACCCACCTCAGCCATTCATCCTGCTCACTTCCCTTTCTCTCTCTGCTCACTTCTCCTTTCTCTCCCATTCTTTTTGCCTTTGCATTCCTCTAGCAAGGCCAAACTTGGGAGACTGGAGAACAGTATATTTTAAACTAATTTCCATTAACATTAAAATTATCAATATTTACCTCCCCCACCTTCGCAAAAGTATTAAAAATGTTTAAAGTTTTTATAGATGAGTCTCACTCTGTGGCCCAGACTGGACTCAAACTCCTGGGCTCAAGAAATCCTCCTACCTCAGACTCCCGAGTAGCTGGGACAACAGCTGCATGCCACCATGCCCAGCTAAAAGTATTTTTAAAGAGGACCCTTATAAATCCTTATTTACTTCTGTAAATAACTTTTTCTTATAAAAATTATTACTAAAAATTTGGAAAAAAATATAAAGAGCTTACAAAAGCCACCACAATTCTACCACTTGGGGAAGATGAGTGAAGAAGATGTGCAATGCATTCTTTTGAATTAACTTTCTGCATCATTTTTACATAACTGTTATTGTTCTCTCTATATAACTTGGTGTCCTGCATTTTTCCATTTAACAGTGTTATATCTTCAGTTGGTAGAATATGTATTACTATGTAAAGAATTTCCTGGGTAAAGAAAGGATTCTCTGGTGCAGAGAAAATATATGTAGACAATAAAACTGAATGGAAGTACCTAGGTCTTCCTGGGTTCCGGATCCAGGTCGAGATGTCTTTGGTGGATTTTTGAACATGTTCTTTACCCTACCCAGTGCATTCTGCTCTCTCCCCATGGCTGACCATAATGGTGGTCTACTTATTCCTCTCCTGGATTCAGTCTATCCCTCACTCCTCCCATCCTTCATACTGAAGTTGAACCAGGACAGTCTCTTTGTCCCTTTAATTCTGGAGAGTGATTGACTGGTTGGCCCCTAGAATTCTACCTTGGTTTCAAAGTGAAATATCCTTTTGTACCAAGCCCCAATCATAGGAAAATCATTTCCTATCTTTCATTTCCTTTTTCTCACATTCTGAGTAAACCCTTCTCACTTATGGGTTTATGTCTTGAAATCTGGGAGTGGGAATGGAGTTAACCAGATCAGGCGCATTCAGCAAAGCTGACCCCCTAAGTTATAAACTCAAGTTAGTTCATACAAACTCTTTCTCTGGCCTTTCTTGCTTCTGGATAACATGGCATGCATGTTCCCATACTAAGGTCATTAGCTCACAACTTTAAAAATTCAGAGGGAACTCTTGTCAATTCAAGGCAAATTTTAGGAGGGGCATATCCAAAAAGTGCCTCTCTCCACGATGTTTGAGGAACACATGTTCCCCAGCATATGAAGGAAGAGTCAAGTTTGCCACAGATTACTTTTTTTTTTTTTTAATGCAGTATGTGCAGAAAGCATCTAGATGCCTCCTACTGTGAGACGGCTTTGGATAGGCACAGAGATTTCTTAACCGGTTAAGTTACATAGCATATGTGAGATTCTTGTCTCAGCAATAACCAAAAAAAGTGTTGGCATTTCACATATTCAGTTGAATATAAAGTGACACCTATCTAGAACACTTAATCTTAAGTTATTCTCACTTTTTAAAGGGAAAAATAAAAAATTCTCCTTCTCTATAATAGGGCAACCTAGTTATTGGATGCTTCAAAATATTTTAGATCATATTTTATTTCTAAATGACTTCTTGATGTCAAAATTCAAATATAATTAATAAGTATTCATTCTCCTAATTCCTTACAATGAAAGGAAGATAAATGGTAAATGTCAGTGAAACTGATGATATATATCTATACTTCATCTTATTCTTTTTTTTTTTTGAGACGGAGTCTTGTTCTGTTGTCAGACTGGAGTGCAGTGGCGCGATGTCAGCTCACTGCAACCTCCGCCTGCCAGATTCAAGCGATTCTCCTGCCTAATGTAGGCTGGGTGTGGTAGCTCACACCTGCAATTCCAGAACTTTGGGAGGCTGAGGTGGGTGGATCACCTGAGGTCAGGAGTTTGAGACCAGCTTGGCCAACATGGCGATATCCCATCTTTACTAAAAAAAAAAAAAAAAAAAATTAGCCGGGTGTTGTGGCACGCGTGCCTGTATTCCCAGCTACTTGGGAGTCTGAGGCAGGAGAATCACTTGAACCTGGGAGGCAGAGGTTGCAGTGAGCCGAGATCGTGCCACTGTACTCCAGCCTGGGCAACAGAGTGAAACTCTGTCTCAAAATAATAATAATAATAATAATAATAATAATAATGCATATACATATTCATGTATAACAATGTTTCATATAAAATTTATAATAAGATCCTCAGAATAGTATTGTTGAGGATATAGATAAGAAAACATACTCACAGAGTTTGTAACTAATTCACTCTATTATGTAGTTTATGAGAAACTGGGTTTTCTGAGTGTTCCTCTAGTTCTCTTTCAAGATATCACCCTATCTCATAAACAAGCTATCATAGGGGACAAGAGATAGGCTAAACAAAGGTATAAGATCACATAAATTTGAGAGACCGTAGGTTAAACAATATTAAATATAGTGGTTTTCACAAAACTCCTTCATCTTTAATTAGCTATTATGTTCTTAAATATCTTCAAGAGTTGTATCTAATACACAGTGATTTCCATGCTCATTTGACCAGGAGCCATTTTTTCTTTTTTAAATGGAGAACTAGGTCTAAGTGGCCATAGGGCTCACTTTGAACATACAAGGTTATGGGAACATTTTTAAACATTAATCCAATTTAATAAATCTATGCTAAGAATATTATCCAAAATATGGAGACTTCTATACTGCAAAGTACATGGTTTATTATGAAAAGAAATTGAAATAACTTAAATGCTCAATGATAGAGAAATGGTTAAGAAAATTATGATAGTCAATAAAACATCACAAAACCAGTAATAATGATAGAGTGGACACTGTGATAATGAGTAGAAATTATAATCTATCTTAACTGAAAAAGGGGTGCATTTTTACAATGATTACAGCTGCGTAAAGAAGCAAATCCCAGAAAAAAACAGAAAGAAAAATGCCAAAATCTTAACATTAATTATAATAGGGTTACACATTGCAAATGTTTTGCTTTTCTTTCTCTGTATTTTCTATGTAGTCTATGAAAGACTTTAGTACTAGATCAGCCAATGCTATCCTACCTTACCATGCAGAAGGACATTAGGAATAATCTCTGGATGTCCAGTTTTAAGAGATTCCCCCAGAGACTGAGCCATTTCTGCGTGGGGGGCAGGACTGGAAATTAAGTCAGGATTTCCTTTGGAATCAGTGGCTGGTTAGCTCAGGGCATTCCTCCTTGGTGAGTTTTGTTCCTTCCCTTGACCACTGTCCCCCTATTTAACCTGAGGATGTTAAATGCAATGTAATTAATGGAACCAGATGGTTGTGAGTACATCACTGAGCACAGCCATTGGTCCTACAGGGAAATGTCTCTGGGCAAGCACTCTACTGATTGTGAGCCAAGAGTGCCATTTCATAATTATTGAGACACACTTAGGAAGGATATGTATGGGGGTTAAGAGCATGGTCTTTGGAGTCTGACAGTTCTGGATTTGAATCCCAGCTCTTCCACTGAGAGTAGCTGTTTGGCCTTGGGAAAATTCCTTAACTTTTCATACCCTCAGTTTCCCCATCTGCAAACTCAGAATAATACTCTGTACCTCATAAAGTCATTTAAAAGATTAAATGATATAACATGTGCAAAGGGCTTAGTTCTGTGCCAAATAGTCAATAATGATAGCTAACTATAATTATTAGCTGCTATAATCATAGCTTTTCCATATTTTAAAGTACTACTGTATGTTAAAGATGTATGTTTCTTTGCATTTTTCCTGAAGTCTGTAAAAAGTTTTCATTAATTAAAAGCAAGCCAATTAGGAAAGGACTACTCTATTTTATGGATAAGCCATCTGGGGGGGTCATTTATTATTTCTCCTGAATTGTTGGCTTTTGAAGCTCATTAGATTCAACATCCATTTTAGTGGGATCCTCATTTCGATAATCCACCCTCAAAGAATTCCATCCAGTTAGTGAGGCAAGTTATTCCTTTCCTGAAACCACACGGGTCCTTCTAAACTGAGTTCCTGCTCTTTCTCTGTTCGATTTCTTAAAATAGTTTCTGAAGATTTTAACCACAACTGAATCAAAACTAACCAGCCTGTAATTTCCTGGTATGTCCGTATGGCTTTTCTTTTAAAACAACACACACACACACACACACACACACACACACACACACAAATGGCATTACCTTGGCTGGTTTCCAGTGTTTCGGAGTTTGGACTGGAGGAAGCTGGAAGGTGTCTGTGAAAACTACTCTCATTTCTCTTTGTCTCTCTTTTGGAGGAGGCTCTGGGTTGCTTGTGGCTTCATCATGATGTATTATCAAACGTAGGCACTTTTAATTTTGAATTGTTTTAAGAATAGTTTACCAGTATTACAAAAAGTTACCCTAGTTCTTTACCGCCTATCTTCCTTCTCTTCAATTATAGTATATCAGGAAATAGGGCAATTTGTACCATGCATATGAGCTAGCAAAAGAAAGAACTAATTTTTTATAGAAAAGATATGCTTTCTAAAAACATCTAAGGAAATATGGACGACTTATTTGAATTCATAAATTAAAAGCACAGTTGGAATATATTTGGATCTTCTCCCAAAACCTGTACAAACATTCTGAACTAAACACAAAGGAACCTAAGACTAGATTTTATTTGGCCAATTATTTAAATAGTTAATGACTTTTTGTATCGAAGCTTTTTTTTCATTTTTTTAATTATCAAGTGTTTTCTTTTAGTTGAATTCTCAATATAATAAAATATTTGGGTTCAAAATTGTCTTGACTTTAAATGTGTTCATAATTAATATATAATACAAAAGTTGAAGTTAAAAAGAAACAAAAATGTGAGTAGATATATAATATTCAGATAATGACTAAATTAAAATGGATCAGAATGGAAACCAAACAATTTATTTTAAAATTATAAGGAACATGATGAGAATATATTTGTTCAGTACATTGCTTTTGTAAATGTTTCTTTCAGTAAATGTTTGTTGAATTGATAAATTATTAACAGATAGAAATAAAAATGCAAAAGCAAATGTTGCGATAAGGATGTAAGAAAATATATTTCTAAACAAAACACTTTAAGTTTTAAGATATAATAAAATCAAACTAATTTAGAATTATTGTGTGAGAAAGTCGTATTCAGAAGTTCTAAAATACTAAAATATATTTATGGAAATACAGTGCATTTTCTTCATGATATTTATATTTGGAGTTCATCAACAAGGTATTTTCAAATAAATAAATGTTTTCGGATAGATTTAAGTTATTTGCAATTAGAGGCCGGCATTTGTATCCCAGAAATTTACATGCTGAAGGCATTAACACTGTTCATTTTAGAAATATCTTTCTTGTATTTCTTATAATATGAATTACCCAGCAAGCTTTCTTGCAAAGCAGAAAGCAAAAGCAATGTTAACCATAGCCCAGTTTAAAATGTTATTAAAAGTAGTGGAGTTGAAAATAATGATATTTCTTCACTGTATTTGGCAATTAAAACTATATTATTTATCTTTTTTTAAAAAGTTTTGATTGATTAAAACAGGATCAAATATGTAGTGATACCTTAAAACATTAGAACAGGTACCTAGCTATATTACTTATTTTTGCCCTCACTTTCACCCAAGATTTTCTATAATTTCTATTATGGATATTTTTCAAGCACTGATTCTTAAAAATACAATTTCAAAAATTAAACATAGAAGATACAAAACACTCTGGGTTGTACAGAGGTAAGCAATTAATTAACATTTGAAAGACAACATCTACACAGATATGTTGATGTTAAAAAGTTGAGGAGTCAGTCACTAACCTTGTAGAAATTTCGGAATCTCACTGTGGGTTCAGGAAAGATGAAAAGATTAGCTAAAGTCCTCTTTTCTTTTTTTCATATTCTAATCCACAGCATGGTGTCAGTTTTACATACTTTCTGCTTGTTTTCTTTATTGCCAAACTCCTTGGCTGACAAGCATTAACCTTGATTGTTTCAACTGACCTCTTAGGCAGTGTGGTTGAAATGAACATCAATGATATCATCCCACAAACAACTGCCTTCATCTCCCCTTTACCAAGAGTATTTTCCCGATTGTATTCCATTCCAATGAGTTTTCATCAATTTATTTAGCACTTACTCATATGGTTGTGACTCAGAGATTTGGGGTTGGTGCTTTGGGAACCCAAAATAATGGAGATGTCATATTAGATTATGTAATCATTGGCTCTTAATTGCTCAAAAGTTCTCTCACTGTATCTAATACTTAAAAGAAAATAAAAACTCTAAGGTTCATGCCCCAGTTACCCAGGACTCTCAAATTTTCAACAGATAAAGATTATTTCCATACCTTTAGAACCTCTTAATTGTATTATTAGAGTTCACATTTCAAAGAAATGCTGAGTAAAATAATGGTGCAAAAATATTTTTATATTGTTGCAAGCTTTAAAAACGTTTTCCAAGCTACTAGAATATTTTATTTGCTTTTACTTAAAATTTGTTAAAGGAAATCTACAGTCTACTCCTATGATAAACAATTAGTGACATAATAAGTGGTAAACAAGTAAATTGACGCTCTTTAGCACACTATTTCTAACTGCTGTGGGAAAGGGCGAAGCAAACAGAAAGTGCAGAAATTTTTGCAAGAATTACAGTCTACTTTTTATAATTCAGATTCCCATATGGCATTGGAATTTAAACAGGCAAGAGATGTTTCTATACTAGTTTCAAATTTTCCAATTTTTCTTCTGTCAAGTCTTAATTACCCTGAGTATTTCTTAAGGTACAACTCCCCCAACACGATGGAAAGAGTTTCACTAGATGGAAAACTGTACTATCAATTATGTTAATATGAATAGAATTTTTCTAGGCACAATATGTACCACACTAATAACATGCTATATGGGAAATATCTCTAAAAAACATAAAGCCCTATATTGAAAATGGAAGGTGGCATTATTATTTTTTTCTACAATTACCTTGTTGAGGGGCCAATTCAAATAGGAAACCTAGATTTTGGGGGTCTTGCAAAGGTGAAGAAGGCACTATTGGAGCATTTTCACTTTTCTGTTTTTTCTTCCGTGAATTGATTTTGCCTTTTCCACTTAAGGCATAAAGAAATGACTTCATATGCAAATCCATTTCATACATACACATGCACACACAAACATTACATATGTATATACTGAAGTATTTGGCTTTCCAAACATAATTCAGCATGATTTGGAAAATAAGAAAAACATCTTATTTTGGGTTATGATGGTAGCACATGGATGTGAACCTGGTAGTAGTTTGCTAACAGCATTTTAAAATATTTTTCATATGCAAATATGAGTCTTTGGAAAGCACACAGATTGATTTCTATAAGCAAATTAAATGAAAAATCCAGGTATGAAGAAATTATCAGATGTGCAATATAGGAGTAGAAGTGATGGATTGCTGCTGAAATATTCAGATTATTATGAAGGTGCAGATATGCCTATTATTTTAAAAGGCACTTCTATAGAGTATCATATAAACTATCTTAAATAGTTAGACCCGAACTGTGAGGGTTCCCCCCAACTGTCCTTTTCATATTTAGTTTTCCCGACTCCCTGTCTCTTCCTTGGGTCCCTTCTTGGCTACAACTTTATTATATAAATATACTGCCATAGAAACAATCCTGGGCACATGCTTTGAATATTGTTACTTTCATATTTTACGGAACCTATTTTTAATGGGTTTATCATAATTCCTCCAGATCTTTGGACAGCCTTTCCCTAAGAAGTTGAGGTGACAGCCAAATTTGCCAGGTAACACTTAATGGTAGGCTTAAGAAGAGAGGAAGTGCCCCTGGAGAAACCTGGCTCCATTTCATTCACCACTTGCCCTCTTTAGAAAACCCACCAGATCGTACAGTACCTTCTTTTCATTTTCCCGTCGCTGTTGGTCCTTAAATTTAATCTGGAGAAGTTGAAATTTCAAGAGTTTCCCTATCAGTGGTAAGGTTAATTTCTCTCCACTATCCATAATTGCTTTTGCTGCCGTTAACACCTATACAGAAACACAATTATTAGAAAAAGTGATGTTTTATAACCTTTGGCACAGTCTGTCAGTGATGAAAAGATGAAAGGAAATTTTATATTATTTGTCATACTGGAAAGATACTTCATTGCTGGCTGAAAAAAAAAAGTTAGGGAAAAAAATGCCTCAATGCTACAGAGAGGGGCATTTACCCTCTACTTTAAATAAATTGGATTGTCTGAATATCGACTTCTTTTTCCAATAAGGCAGAGTGCTTCCCACGATGGTGTTAGACTCAGACTCCAGGAAAAGGGTAGAGAAAAGATAGGCTGGGCTCCATTTTAGGATGACTGATAGGGTGATTCATGCTACAGAAAGTCTATTGTTTGGCATAGCCAGTAGTCCAAACTGTCAAACTTTGACTTATTAGGATATTATAAATTAAACAGGGTTTTATAATAGTGGAAATGACTATGTTAGCAGTCTTTTATTTCTTTGTAACTAAATTCAAATGAAAGATAAAAGCTGTTTGACACAAAGGCGCCATATGAATGTTGCTCCCCCTTGCAACTTAATGTTGATCATGTTGGTATGCAGCCTAATTGGGGTGAAATAAGGTTATTGAGTTTTCTTTGGGTGACGACAGCCACTAGGAACATACAGCTGTATTGTCCAGATGTGTGGCACTGACAGCCTGTTTTATGACTGTGTTTTTTACAGCTTGTTTCCCCTAAATTTCACACAACGCTCTAACATCTGGGCCCTTTTCCTTGGAGCCCTATAACCACTTTATTTACTGCAAAAAAAATAAAATCACGTAAAATATACCATAAAAAGTTGTTATGTGTTTCTCTTTATTCATGTTGTCTCCCTAATAAAGTTCACCTCTGCCTGAAGCATTGTCACAGAAGTAATCTAGTTGAAGTATTTTTTGACTTTTGTTTTTAAGCAAGCATCATATTTATTTATAACCTTGGGATGAATTAGGTGTTACTAAAATGTTCTGACATGTTGCTTTTCTCCCCCCTTGGAGTAATCACTCCTGGGGCGCATATGGTGTCAATTTCAGGCCCTTGGTCTCAGACAATGACTGTGCACACTGCATCTCACGGAGCTGTGTCTTGTCTGAGCTCTTGGTCAGGACTTTCCTGACCAGTCCAGTTGCTTTTGACTTGTTACTTCGCCAAGGGAAATAGCCGGAAGAAAGGGAGGTACCTATTTTCTTCTAACTGCAGAAGGCTCTATGGATTACCATGTGCCAAAATGTAACTGGACCTCATAGAGATCACATTGGGGTTCCCGCATTGCATCACAGAAGGGGAAGGCCAGAGAAAGGATTCCTTTAAAGCTGCCTTTTCTAAAAACCAAAGGAACTAACCAAGTGTCAGAAATCTTTGCAAGTCAGAAATCCCTGCAAGGACTCTAGGAAATACAGTGCTTTGCTTTTTATGGCAGTTCTGCTCCTGCTAACACAATTTAGGGAAAGAGACATGATGGCTGTGATTTTTGGGAGCAGAAAAACATAGCAGTACACCTGCAGAACCTCACCATTTAATGATGACCAGATCCCACGTGGAAGGGGATCCTAAGGGGATGGAGGTCAGGCGTTTACTGTAAAGTGAAAGCTGTCTGACTGGGTCCAACCCCAAGAGTAGATGTCAATATTTGGTTTGCATTTTTCAATGCCAGCTAAATACTGTGCTGACAATCAGGCTCTGTGACATCTGATTCAAAACATTCAAATGTGGGTTTTTAAAGGTCATGGCAGTCTAGTGTTTCCCTCTAATACAAAGATAATGACAGCGCTGAAGGGAAGTCAACACTGAAAAGTGTTACCCCAGAGTGGTTGTGGAGTCTCTTTTCCTGACGACCTGTGAAAACAGGATATTCACCTATGTCTGGGGGGTTTGGGTGAAGCCTGCCTGGTGTCATGGCAATGGATGGGATGTCTCTGGAGGTGATTTCTCTAGGAGTCTATGAATGTTACCTCACTGTATTAAAATGTATTCAAAGCATAACAAAACATCCTGAGAGAAAAGTATTTTGCAGGTCATAATAGTTATTACTGGTTTGTCTAAAACTATCTGTGGGGTGTGGTTTCAAACAAAAATCTGGCACAGCATCAAAGTAACAGTGAGGTCCTGCCCTGACATGGGGAGACAGGAGATGAGGGGCTTCACCAGTTTGCCAGGCACACATGCTCTCATGACATACAGACACAGAGAGAGAGAGCAGTGGTGGACAGGCAGCCTTGAGGAGTGCCCTGGGTGGTGTCCTCCTCCCGAACTGCCCTGGGGCGGCCCACATGGAGGCAGACTTGATGCGCCACATCCTGCATAAAGGCACAGCCTGCCCCTGGCACCACTAGGAATGGCAGAGGCCAGGCATACTTGGCCTCCCCCAGGGTTGCTCTGAAAAGGCTTGACTCTCTAAATGCCACTTTCTTTCTGTGCGTCTCCCAAAGGGAATGATATTGTGAATTATTGGAATAATTAATGAAAATGAAAGTCTATGCTGAACTCAAAATCTGAGACAACATTTTCATGGTATATGGGTCATTCCCAAAAGAGGCGGAAAAAGAAAAATGTTTACAAATTAATTTCATTTCAAAATTCTTTCTTCTGATGTCCCATAATTAACAATTCTACCCTATCAGTAGCCAGTAGTTTGGTCTCAGATGAAAAACAAATCTTTCAGGAATCTGTTTGAAGGACAAGTTTTTGAGGGAAGAAAAAATTAAAGAGACAGAATTTAAAGGAAATGTACCTTTTCACATAACATCTCCAAAGGTTTCTCCTCCCTGGCCTTAGTTGTATTAATTAAAAGAATAAATCTCCAACATTCTAGCACTGTAAAGATAATTTGCCCATCATCTATGTCAAAATAAGTGTGCGTACCTGTGCATATGTGTGTGCACTGGGGGGTAAGCTAGCCAGGGCTATAGTTATAGGGGGGATGAGAGACATAAGAGAACATGTGAGCAGCGAGCTGGCAGTGCTTGGGGAGTAATTAGGCAAAAATTTAAGCTTCCAGAACTAGTCAGAAAAATAGTCCTGAATGGGTTAAAACCTTAGTTCTCTTTAAGCCAAAATGCCAAGTAAATGTGCTTGGCGTGAATCAGGAACTCAAAAAAGCACGAGTCTTAACGGGCAAATGAGACTTATTAAAATGGAGAAAAATGTTGCCAGGCAAGGCCTGTGTCTCCTGACCTCTTCAGGTCAGCTCTCCAGGCAGAGAGGCCTGCCAGGACCGGAGAGAGGCTCTACGCTGAAAGACCAAAGGTCACTCAGTTCCAGGAATGATTGGTGAATGAGGAAATTAAGCTTCAAAGAGTGCAGCTGAGGCAGAAGCCATGTTCATGTTGTATTGTGTGAAGATATTTAAGGGGTCTAGATGCTATTTTTCTGTTAGGGAGCTTGTAATTCTGTACACACTAAGAAATAAAAATATTTCCTTTATCATTGTCCTGGCTCAAAGAATTACATCATATTTACTATCTAATGATTTGATCCAACAAAAATATACCAAATGAGCCAAATTATTTCCTTGCCTGAGGATCAGGTCCACCTACAGACACCAGTGTCCTCTCTCCTTCTAAGCATTCCTCTTCTCTCTAGAACCTCCCTACATTAGTAAGCACAAGCCCAATGCTTAGAATTGCCCTAGGCGCTCTCATGGAAACCAAATATATGCATGCATGTATGTGTGTGTGCATACATATATACATATGCACATTTATACATATATGCATATATGTGCATATATAAGATAGAGAGAGAGAGATAGAATGGACTCCCATGAAGCCTGCTGTATGATTTCCCTTGTGTGTTGACAAGAAGTCATATGAAGCAGCTTGAATCATTGCTTAACCTGCTGCATATTCAATCTCGAGTGAATTCTGAGGTTGTGTAAAGATTTGGATCTGGATTTCTCTTGCTTGGAACAGGTTATGGGAGTGAGGTGGCAGAGGAAAGGGCAAGCTGTGGTTGTGTGAAGCAGAGAGAAGAGGGGTAGTAGAAGAGAGATGGCCTGGGAGAGCACTTTCCCTCCAGGAGCTCCAAATATCCACCAGTTTCCGACTAAAAGAATCCTTTGGCTTCAGGGACTTTCTTGGAGGCCCATGGTGTTTATTGCAGTAACTGTAAAAATTCACAACATATGACTTCATATTCAACCTATTTTGGGGAGGTGAATAACTTAGGATTGCTTTGGATATATGAAGACCTCAGCAAACAGAAGCAGAATCCATAAGCTAGAGCTTGACTCAATTTAGGCTAGCACAAGGCTGGGCAAACAGGCTTTCAGCACACATTCTTTTGGGTAGCTCATTTCTCTAATATATGATTGATCAAATTTACTTAAAGTAAGAGTATAATCGTTCTTTACCACAGTAAAAAATATACACACATATATGTATATTCAAACACAAATGGGATTATACTATTCATATTAAGTGCTTTGTGGTTTGTGTTTTTACATAAAAACACATCCAGGACAGCTTTCTGTGCTGATAAGTTTTGCTTACGTATATGGTTTTTAATAAATAGCATAGTCTTCTATTGTGTGGGTGTTTGCTCATTTATTTAACTAGCTCCCCATTGACAGACATTTAAACAATTTCAGTTTTCCTTTTTTTCTATGAAGTGCATGTGTGTTTTTGTTAGTAGCATTTTTGTTCCCACCAAAACTGTATGAAAGGGTCCGTTCCCCCACTTCCCATATAAACAATGAGTATTCTCCAACTTTTATTTGTTGATATTAGTGCTAATAGTTTTTCTGTGATGATGAAAATATTCTTTATCTGTAGTGTACAATATGGTAGCCACTAAACCACATGTGACTATTGAGTACTTTAATATTGCTAGTGAGATTAAAAAAAAACAAATTTTTAATTTTGTTTTTAATTGATTAAAATTAAAATTAAAGTGTAAATAGCCACAAGTGGCTAGTGGCTACTGTTTTGGTCAGAGAAGGTCTATATGATAGGGAAAAGTGAAATATAGTATTTCATTTAAAATAATATTCATTTAATCATCCTATCACTCTATCCCTCTTATTTTATGCCCAAACTGAAAGGAATGATACCTTTTCAGCACCATCCTTGGCAAATTTTATTAATGCAGGAGATGCTTACATACATGTATTGAATAACAATGGCGTACTCAGATTTATACAGTGCTAAAGGTGAGGAGTAAGGAAAATCTATGGCTTCCAAGCTAAGATATTGCTTGTGGCCACACAAGAAACTTGTCTTTGTTTGGATTTAGATAAACAGGGCTGGTATGGGGCAAGAATAGGAAGAATACAGAATTTGCTTCTGGCTCCTTTCTGTTACCTTTTAAAATCCCTCTGTTACACCCCTCCCACTTCTAGCTACCAGATACCTTTTTGCTTACTAAATCCTTCCTGCCATGAAAATAGAAAATATTTAACTTGGTAGCTCACTTTGAATAAAGTTTATTTATACCAGTGGTTTAGCTATATTTTGAGATTTTTATTTATTATAGAATGAAAGGAACTAGTGGCTGATGAAGTATTTTCGAGCAATAAGTAACAGGTGTGGCAGTTTAGAATTTAGGGGTAAGAGGTAATCTGGAAATTTGAAATGCCTGTCTGGCTCTGGGTAAACATAGTTTTGGCATTTGTGGTGCTTATAGGCCAGGGGTGAGAGCAGCACCCCTGGGCTTCCCTGCCTGGAGTTGCTGTTACATTCTAGGACTAGCTTATTCAGGGGAAAGGCTCTGAAGGGAAAATGGAACTTCCCCTCCAGCCAGGGTCAGAGGAGGATAAGCATCAGAGAGGGTGGGTGGAGGGCTGGAGCCAAACAAAGGGGAGGCAGCAATTCTGTATTGCGGGAGAGGAGTAAAGGCAAAAGAAATCTGCTCTGGCAAGTAAGATCTGGGACCTATCTATGCGTGCCTGTATAGGTGTGTGGGCATGTGGTGTGTGACTTTAGTGATATATATCAGGGGGTCCCATCCCCTGGTTAGGGCCAGTTCCTAATCTGTCCATGGCCTGTTAGGAACTGGGCCACATGGCAGGAGGTGAGTGGCAGGTGAGGGAGCATTACTGCCCGAGCTCTGCCTCCTGTCAGATCAGTGGTGATATTAGATTCTCATAGGAGTGTGGACCCTATTGTGAACTGTGTGTGAGGGATCTAGTTGTGTGCTCCTTATGAGAATCTAATGTCTGATGATCTGAAGTGGAGCAGTTTCATCATGAAATCATCCTGCTCCCCACTCTGTGAAAAAATTGTCTTCCACAAAACCAGCCCCTGGTGCCAAAAAGGTTGGGGATCACTGGTGTACATGAGTGCATGTCCATGTGTGCACAAAATATGTGTGTTTGCACAGCTGCCTTTGATGTTTATTCAGATTATTAAAATATACTCAATATCTAAAAACACTGTCAAAACTGATTTGCACATATTGAAGAGCTGATAAAAAGAGAAAAACATTATGAATATTTTTTATTGGCATTTTAAAAAGAATACTGATGACTATTTACCATTTCTATCTAATTATCCTGCAGCATACAAGGGGCTATGTTTATTATTAAATATGTCATATTAAATACATGCAATTTATTCATCATAGTAAGCTATGTTGCCATATATTCTATCTTTAAAGTTTATTGCTTAGGTAGCATGATATACATTCTGCTTTTATCTTACATCTTGTTATATTTGCTTATATCATTAGAAAGTCAGAGGAACTATTGCCCCAATGTGTGTCTGTGTGTCTGTGTGTGTGTGTGTGTGTGTGTGTGTTTACAGAATTTTCTGTTTAGAGTGAAAGGCTGTTTAGATGGGCCCGATTCTGCACATTTGATGAAAATGATGGAAGAGCAGATAATTTGCAAATGATTGAAAAGGGCCACTTGTATTGAGATGTTCTCACATAAGATTCCAATGGGGAACTTTAGCTCCTTTGGTACAAGATATGATTAATCAGTTGCGGAAGCCATAACTACATATGTGCAACTTAATGCAAAAGTACAGGCTCTATTTGCATTCCAGTCTTCCCACGTAACACTGCAGAGCCTCAGGCAAGTTACTTAACCCTTTTAAACCTCATCCTTTTAACATCTACAATGGTGGCACTATTGACATTTTGAGCCAGGTAATTACCATAGGAGGTTTTTCTGTGAGTTGTAGGATATTTAGCGAATCCCTGTATTCCACCGAGCTGTGACAATCAAAGGGATCTGCAGACATTGCCAAATGTTCCCTTGGGGGCAAAGTTGTCCCAACTGAGAACAGAAAGAACTACAGAAAGAGAATATGAGTAGTGCTGACTTCATAATTCAGTACCCAGAATTAAATGAGATGACCCATGTAAATACTTTGCATGGTGAATGACATATGCATGATAAATGTTCACTAAAGTCAGTACTTATGGTTATTCATACATCCAGGACAGAGTTGGGATTCTTGAAGATTCCACAGCCCAAGTTGTGAGAGCAGAGAATGGAATGGAATGAGGAGCAACTGGGCAGTGAGACAGTGACCTGAATTTATTATCAACTGGCCATAACCTGGCTACCCCTTTTATTTAACCCTTTGTCCAATCTGAAAAGGACAAATTGAGATATCTTTAGAGAGAAGCAGAGATAAAAAGAAAAGGTGTAAAAATGTATTTTATTTTGGTGCAGTGTATAATGGGGAGGATGTAGAGGAAAAAATATGCTATTAATTTCTTCTCAAATGTGAGATGGAGGAATTCCATCAATAGTGTTCTGTAATTTTACAGCCTCCTTTCCTGTTCCCTCTGCTCCCTTCCCTCCTTCATTCTTTCTGCATTTATTTAGGGCCAACTATATTGTAGTTATTGCATTACTTGATCCTGTATGTGTCTAGTCTATCCAATTCACATTCTTTAAGTAATGAGTAATTTCCAATGAGGCATAATTGGAAAAACAGCTGAAAGGATAAGGGTAGCAGTGAGAGGGGGCTATGGAGAGAAACAGAAAAAAAGAGAAGAAAAAGAACAGGAATGACTGAAACATATTTTCTCACTTTGAGAAGAGGAAAAGAAAATAAGCAATATTAAACTGTCTATACATAAATTTAAAGGTGACTGAAGATATAGGTTCCATATAGATCATACTGTCTGTCTAACGCAAATGGAACGTTATGAAAGTGCTCAGACCACAGCTTGGTGAGAAATTCATAATGATGATAAATATCTGTAGCAGGTGACTCCTAGATCATTTTCAGCTGTCCATAATTAAACTGGTATCCATCTCTCGACAATGTCAGGGCTGTAAAATAATTCCAGTCATTGGACCCCTTACATCTGTGCTGAAATGAAATAATATTTGGCAGTAACAAGGAGTCACTGAAACTAAATAAACAACCCCTTTCAAGACTACATAAAAGTTGGTAACATAATAACATTTGACAGGGATTAAGACCTCTTTGGGGCTGTAAGGAAGTTTCAGAAGCAGCAATAACAAATACATGGAAGGTAGAACAGATCTATGCTTTAACAGACATGTATAATTTAAAATGTAATGAATTTCCTACGGGAGGTGTACATTTTGAACAACCAATATGTGCATGTCAAAAAGCACAGGACTATTTTAGAAATGTTTGCTGGAATTACTCTTCAAAGAAGGAAAAAGCAAAGCTTCCTTTTTATTAAGGAGTGTTTTTGTTTTTGTATACTTGCAAAATGTATAAAGGCACATGAAGCTGAATGTGATAACGTATGGAAGAATGACATACCAAGTTAAGGGCTTTTCTTTAGGTGTGTATTAGCAACAAACGATTCTACTATCATGGCAATGTTTTGTTTTGGTTTTTAGACTAAGATCTTTTCCTTAGTCTAAGATGCTCCCACCCCTCTGAAGTCATTCTTGGTCCTTGCAGTTGTAGTGACCTTCCCTTCTGAACAACCCTACAACGTTTTTTGTATATTTCCTAAGGGATTTAGCTGTCTCTTGTATTAAAATTATTTGTGCACAGGGTTTGTCTCCTCTACTAGCTTGGAAGGTTAAATCCTTTCAGATTCATCTTTTGAAATCCCCTCACAGAATCTGATGCATATATAGACAAACAGTATATTCACTCCTTAAATAAACATAAGAATGGCATCTCTAGAGCTTTTTGTTGTTTGGCTTGAAGGTAAATGTTTTTGATTGTTTATAGCTGCAATTACAAAGCTTTAGGAATATATTTCAAGTAGTAGTAGGTGCTCAGACTGTGTAACACACAAATGGTTATGTAGCACACACCCTGTGCTGGACAAGGACCGTTCCAGGCACTTCACATATTCCAATCCATTTAATTTTCACCTACACTTTTGAGGTGAGTATTCCTATCACCTATTTTATTAGATACAGAAACTGAGGCCTGGTGATCACACAGCCGGTAATTAGTAGAGATGGGATTTGAACCCAGGCTATCTGGTTCCAGAATCCTGTTTCTAGTCAACATATTGTGTGGCCTCACAGTGGGCCTTTTCACCCCTTAGCTGGAGCTACTGGACTCCCATCTTGGGTCACGGTCCCTCTTCTCCTGGGCATGGATGTGTCCTAGTCCCTCCCCAGTCTCCATGGCCAATCCCCATCTTAGCTGCAAGAGCCTGAGAGCCTTTTAGCCCAGGTTTTTATGTTTAAATATTCTTGCTACCCTTACTAGTTTTGCTCCTACCTGATGCCTCAACTCTAAATAGCTGAGCTGTTTCTTTTTTCCTGAGACCTAGTGGGGACCTGTGACTCAGGACCCTCAGTCCTGATAGCTCCAGCTATTGCTCGTCTCCTGGCCTGAGCACATATCAATTTTTTAAAAAATTTGTATTATTTTTTATTGTATTCATATATATATATATATTTTTGACATATAATAATGGTAAATATTTACGGGATACAAAGTGATATTTTTACACATGTGTAGAGTGTGTAATGATTAAATCAGGGTAATTAGCATATCTATCACCTCAAACACTTATCATTTCTTTGTGTTAGGAACAATTCAAAATCTTCTTTTTTAGCTATTTGAACTACATACAAGTTATTAGACTATATTCACCTACAGTGCTATAGAACACTAGAATTTATTCCTCCTATCTAGTGGTAATTTTGTATCCATGAACCAACCTCTCCCTTTCTTCCCCTTTTTCCTCCCCTTCCCTGACTGTAATAATTGCGACTCCACTCTTTACATCTATAAGCTCACTTTTAGCTCCACATATGAGTAAGAACATGTGGTATTTATCTGTCTGTGTCTGACTTATTTCACTTAACATTAGATTGTTCAGGCTCATCCATGTTTTTGTAAATGACAGGATTTCATTCTTTATTATGGCAGAATACTATTCCATTTTGTATAAATAACACATTTTCTTTATCCATTCATCTGTTGACAGACACAGATTGATTCCATATCTTGGCTACTGTGAATAGTGCTGCAGTAAACAGGAGGGTACAGATATTTCTTTAATATACTGGTTTCTTTTCCTTTGGATAAATACCTAATAGGGGAATGGTGGATCATATAGTAGTTCTATTTTTAGTTTTTTTGAGAAATCTCCATACTGTTTTTCATAATGGCTGCACTAAAAACCTTTCCCACCAACAGTCTATGAGTTCCTTTTTCTTAGCATCCTCACCAGCCTCTGTTATTTTCTGTTTTTTTTTTTTTTTGATAATAGCCATTCTAACGGGTGAAATCATATCTCATTATGGTTTTGATTTGTATTTCCCTGATTAGTGATGTTGAACATTTTTCATCTAGCTGTTGCCACTTACATGTTCTCTTTTGAGAAATGTCTACTCAGATCCTTTATCCTTTTTTTTTTTTTTTTTTTTGAGACAGAGTCTCGCTCTGTTGCCCAGGCTGGAGTGCAGTGGCGCGATCTCGGCTCACTGCAAGCTCCACCTCCTGGGTTCATGCCATTCTCCTGCTTTAGTCTCCCGAGTAGCTGGAACTACAGGCGCCCGCCACTACACCCAGCTAATTTTTTTGTATTTTTTTTTTTTAGTAGAGACGGGGTTTCACCGTGTTAGCCAGGATGGTCTCGATATCCTGACCTTGTGATCTGCCTGTCTCAGCCTCCCAAAGTGCTGGGATTACAGGTGTGAGCCACCGCGCCCGGCCTCCTTTATCCATTTTTTAATTAGATTTTCTTGCTGTTAAGTTTTTGAGTTCCTTATATATTCTGAATATTAGTCCTTTGTCAGATGAATAATTTGCAAATATTGTCTCCCATTCTATAGGTTGTCTCTTCACTCTGTTGATTGTTTCCTTCGTTGTGCAGAAGCTTCTTAGTTTGATGTAATCCCATTTATCTATTTTTACTTTATTTTTGCCTGTGCTTTTGAAGTCTTATGCATAAAAATCTTTGCTTATATCAATGTCCTAAAGTATTTCTCCAATGTTTTCTTCTACTAGTTTTATAGTTTTAGATCTTACATTTAAGTCTTTAATCCATTTTGAGTTGGTTTTTGTGTATGGTGAGAGAAAGAGGTCTACTTTCATTCTTCTGCATATGGATATCCAGTTTCCCAGCACCATTTATTGAAGAAGTTTCCTTTCCCTATTGTATGTTCTTGGCACTTTTGTCAAAAATCAGTTGACTGTAACTATGGATTTATTTCTGGGTTCTCTATTCTGTTCCATTGGTCTGTGTATCTCTTTTAATACCAGTACCATGCTATTTTGGTGACAGTAGCTTTGGGATACATTTTGAAGTCAGGTAGTATGAAGCCTCCACTTTGTTCTTTTTGCTTAGTATCGCTTTAGAGAATTTGGGGTCTTTTGTGATTCCATATTAATTTTAGGATTTTTTTTTCTATTTCTGTGTATTAGGCCTTTCTTGCACTGCCCTAAAGAAATACCTGAGGCTGGATTATTTATAAAGAGAAGAGGTTTAATTGACTGACAGTTCTGTAGGCTGTACAGGAAGTAGGGTGCTGGCATCTGCGCAGCTTCTAGGGAGGCCTCAGGAAACTCACAGTCAACTGTGGGAGTAGACACTTCACATGGTGAAGGCAGGAGCAAGATGGGAGTGTGGGGAGGTGCCACACACTTTTAAACCACCCGATCTCATGTGAACTCAGAGCAAGAGCTCACTTATCTCTAAGGGGATAGCCCAAGCCATTCATGAGGAATTCAACCCCATGATCCAAACACCTCTCACCAGGCCCTGCCTCCAACAGTGGGGGTTATATTTCAACATGATATTTGGGTAGGGACAAATATCTAAACTATCTCGTTCTGAAGAATGTCATTTGTATTTTGGTAGAGATTGCATTGAATATGTAGACTGCTTTGGGTAGTATGGTCATTTTGACAAGATTCATTCTTCCAATCCATGAACAAAGGATATCTTTTCTTTTTTGTGTGTCTTCTACAGTTCCTTTCACAGTGTTTTGTAGTATCCATTGTAATGATAGTTCATCTTCTTGGTTAAATTGATTCCTAGGTGGCTGGGCACAGTGGCTCATGCCTATAATCCTAGCACTTTGGGAGGCCAAGGTGGGTGGATCATGAGGTCAAGAGACTGCGACAATCCTGGCCAACATGGTGAAACCCTGTCTCTACTAAAAATACAAAAATTAGCTGGGCATGGTGGCGTATGCCTGTAGTCTAACCTACTTGGGAGGCTGACGCAGGAGAATCGCTTGAATCCCGGAGGCGGATGTTGCAGTGGGCCAAGACCGCACCGCTGCACTCCAGCCTGGCGACACAGCAAGATTCCATTTCAAAAAGAAAAAAAAAAAAAGATTCCTAGGCATTTTACTTTATTTTTGTGCAGCTGTTGCAAATGGGATTGCTTTTTTGATTTTTCAGCTAGTTTGTTATTGGTGTATAGAAAAGCTGATTTTTGTATGTTGATTTTATATCCACCTTTACCAAATTTATTAGTTCTAAAAGTTTTTTGTGAAGTCTTTAGGTTTTTCTATGTATAAAATCGTGTCGACTGCAAAGAGGGACAACTTGGTTTCCCATTTTCCAATTTTGATACCCTTTATTTCTTTCTTTTACTTGATTGCTCTGGCTAGGACTTCCAGTACTATGTTGAATAGAAGTGGTGAGAGTGGGCATCCTTATCTTGTTCCAGTTCTTAGAGGAAAGGCTTTCAGTATTTCCCTGCTTCGTAGAAATGACTCAGGCTGGCAGCCACCTCCATTTTCTACCTTCCTTCTCTTTAAATCTTAAATCATTTTCCTAAAAATCCTGCTTTCAGTCTGAGACTAGTGATTGAGACCCTACTAGTTACTGACTGACTCATGCTGCCTGCTTAGCTATCTGAATATGGCTGGTCCCTGAACTTCCTGCACCCCAACACTGGAGCACTAGATGTGTTAATTTAGCCTTTGGTTTGGATACCATGTTCCACTTCTCAGACTAGAGGTTGCTGATTGCTCCTCCATCATGTCACCTTCCTTCATAGGAGAATCTGACTTTTTTTCAGGCATTGCCCTCTCTCTCATTCAGCTCATGTGACTCAGGGGAAACACAGCTCCATGGGTGGGCCCCTTCACACTAAAAATAATCCTAACCCCCCTTGTCCATGATTGGTTCAAGAGGTGCATGTGATTTTGTTCAGGCCAGTAGAATGAGGCATGGTTTTCTGGGGCTGCTTGATCTGGTTTCCTTGGTCATGACAAAGCTCTGGGAAGAGTCTTAAGGGATGAGATTGCTGCAGCCACTTTACCTTCTTCGGGAAGCTGAAGCTCCTACACAGATGAAGGAAGGGGTAAGAGCACAGCAGGGAAGTGGGCTGGAGCCCCTGAACTAAGCTGACCTTGAAGCCTGCCTGGACTTCTACGTCTGCATGCCAGTACATTTCCTAATTGTTTAAGCCAACTTTAATTTTTGTTGTTGTTAACTTAGAAGATGAACAAATTGATACTGATATGGAGAGATTTATGCCTTCTAATTAATAGAATTTTAAAAATTAACCAGACAATACTAAGATGTGTTTCCCAGACTAGCAGCATCAGTATCACCTGACAATTTGTTAGAAACGTAACTCTTGGGCTCCAACGCAGACCTGCTGAATCTGAAACTCTGGGGGTAGGGCCAGCAGTGTTTGCTTTTAACAAGACCTCAGGTGATTCTGATATACGCTAGATTTGAGAACCATTGTTTTGTACCTGGTTTCTTATGTGGCCTTTCATAATAATGTATTTAGCCCACATATTGTCAGTTTCACCCTTGCCCTTGCTAACTCTCAGTTATGCATTTATATTTCCTTAATTTCTTTCTCCTCCTCCTCCCCCTGCCCATCCTCCTTCTCTTCCTTCTTCTTTCTCTACCTTCTTCTTCTTCCTCTTCCCTTCTTTCTTTCTTTTCTTTCTTTCCCTTTCTTTTCTTTCCTTCTTTGTTTTTTTCTTTTTCTTTCTTTCCTTCTTCTTCTTCCTCCTCTTCTTTGTCTTCTTCTTCTCCCTCTTCCTCCTCCTCCTCTTCCTCTTCTTCTTCCATTTAGACTTACTAAGCTGCCCCTTTCAGAGGACAGCCTGGAGTCCTGGAGTGGGATTTCTGCTAATGTCCTGCTAGACAAAGAATGTATTCAGTGTATCAGCCCTGTCTTCATTTACCCTAAGTTCTTGGTTTCTCCACAATTATCAAAAAGTTGTAGTGTTTCTCCAGCTTGATGTGGATGATGTTCTAGGCTGTTGTTAATTTCTAAGTATTAATCTGAATGAAATCTGCTTATAAAAGGGCTTATTCCTTGAATTTCCTTGTCCTCCCCCTTAATCTCTTTGACTTGTTAGTTAGCTCTAGGAGGCATACAGGGTATGTCTCCTGGCTGACTACTGGGAAAGCCCTTAATGAGCAGATGGATGCTGCATAGTTTCCCATAGGACAGTTTTCCTCCAGTGTATGCTGTGTGCCACCTACCCCAGAACCTCTGGGAACCTAGTTAAAGATATGGGTTACCTGGGATCTACCCCACAACTATTAAATCAATCTCTGGAATTGATTTGGGCCTAGTAGTATGACATTTTAATAAGCTTTCTAGGGATTCCTAAGTACTTTTGAGTTTAAGAATTATGCAAAGGTCATTTACATATTGACACTGGGGTGACCAACTCTGGGGTTTTCCAGGGATTGAACTTTCAGTGCTAAAACTGGGATAGTCCCTGGCACCCAGGACAGCTGGCCACCCTGAGACAGCAAGTTCAAGGGGAGCCATCTCAAGACTGCGGTAGAATGGCATTAGTTAACTCCATCCCCAACCCCACTTTCCCCAGTCCTTCCAGTTCATCCACTGATGACCTTCCCAGAGCCTCATGTTCACCCCAGTTTCTGAGCCAATCTTATCAGAAGCAACAAAGACATTAATTCCCCCACCAGGAGGCCATGTCCAACATGGTTATTCATCTCTTATTCAGGATCCAATAACCTAATGATAAATATTTTAGTATACTGTGGATTATTGAGTGCATATTCTATGCTAGACACCGTACTACAAACATTATTTCATGGGGTTCAGAGACCAAGATTCTTTCCCAAGAACACAGGGGTTAAATAGTGGTGGTACTAATCTTTAGATACAGCACCATGTTTTTAGAATCTGCTCTTCCAGCCAATGTGATGTCTGCTTCTCTTTTGTGTACCTTTTTCTAACTTCTGGAACTGACTAGTCTTTTCTCTAGTGGACTCCTATCATGGACTCAAACCACAATGAGCTATGAGGTGTGAGCCAGATCACAGTTTAGACACTTCCTTAGGATATAGATTCCTTAGGATTAGACTCTGAACCCAGCACTCATACTGCCTGGTTGAGGTTCCTTTCAAAATTCTTTTTGTGGCTTCAGATTAGTTCCTACATGGACTGGCCACATCTCTTGTTGCTTTCATTTTCTATCACTCCATTTCAGCTCCACTCCCTTCTTGATGTTCACCAAATGTGCCTCAGAGCCTTTGCTTTTGCAGTTTCCCCTGCTCGGGAGGCTCTTCCCCAGATGACCACATAGCTCCATCCCCTCCTTCAGATTTTTATTCAAGTGTCACCATCCAGTTTTGCTCCCCTGGCTACTCAGATTAGTAACTCTTCTACTTCTCACCCTTTCCTCCCTTTTGCTCTGTAGTTCTTATTACCATCTAACATAATACATACTTTATTTATCTCTTCCATTACTTCCTCTCCCCAATTAAAAAGTAAGTCCTGCCAGGATATTGGCTTTTATCTACTATTTTTCGTTGATCTAAATTCAAAGCCTGGAGCATAGTAGATGATTAGATAATTTTTGAATGAAATCAGATGGCCATTGTGTACCATGTTTTATGCTGTTTAACTGCAAATTTCACCACTACCTAGAGCTTTTCCTATTGTGAGTCCCCCATGCTTGGATTTTCTGGTTGGCCTGGATCAAATCTGAGGTAACTGTGGTCCCCTGAAGGGTGCACTGTTGATGTTGTTCATCCTTACTCAGAGGATTTTCTATAGCTGGACTCTTCCTGTGGTGCAACCTGGTGATGTCCTCTTTTCATGAACTGTTGAGATGGAGCCATTCTTGGTTATGGATTAACTTGGCCCACACTTTAAGGATTCCCCTTGCCATTAATTCATCAAACTTTTACAGAGCACCCATTATATTCCCAATGCTGGATATTCAAAGACAAAAGAAGCAGGCCCTGCCCATAGTGAGCTTTTCGTGGAGTTGGGGAGATCATCTACAAGGCACATGGAGCATTCAGGACAGTATCGCATGCTGTGCCCAGCAGTGGAGGTAAGCGAGGGTGCTGTGGTGGCCCCAGAGGGTGCCTTCTCCACACTGGGAGAGTCAGCAAAGGCTCCCTGCAGGTGTCACTCCTGAGTTGAAATGTGAAGGATCAGTGGGGGTGGCTATGACTGAGGTCAGGTGGTATGAGACTGGGGAAGAGTGACGAGAGGAGAGCAGTGACCCAGGAAGAAGGACTGAGGCCAGAGAAAGGCAGTGACCCAGGAAGAAGGACTGAGGCCAGAGAAAGTAGCATATTCAGGAAACTGGAAAGTGGCTGTGGGTGCCGGGTTGGGCTGGGGGATGAGGTTGATACTGGAGGGAGGTAACCAAGGGTGACACGATCAGATATATAATCTCTTTATGAATTTAGGCATTTTATTTATCTTCATATGAGCAAAACCCCAGGCTTTATTAGATATTTTGGTAACCCATGGCAAACTTCAAAATCTTTCTGTATTTCAGAGCTTCCACTATGTATCTTCCCCCTCTAGCTTTGTGTAATGGTAAACTACACCTAGTACTGGAAGCATGCATGTTTAGCAGAAGTATTTTAATTTAGCAGAAGTATTCTAATTTAGACAGAGGCTGTAAGACAAAGACATTAGGTACCTCTGGGCATGCAGGCAGTGCCATCCTTGCCTTGCAAAGCAGGGGAATAGGCAAAGCGTGAACATTTTCTTTTCTTTTCTTTTCTTTTAGATGGAATCTTGCTCTGTTGCCAGGCTGGAGTGCAGTGGTGCAATCTCAGCTCACTGCAACCTCTGCCTCCTGGGTTCAAGCAATTCTCCTGCCTCAGCCTCCTGAGTAGCTGGGACTACAGGTGCGTGCCACCATACCCAGCTATTTTTTTGTATTTTTAGTAGAGATAGGGTTTCACTATGTTGGCCAGGATGGTCTCGATCTCTTGCCGTCGTGATCTGCCCACCTCAGCCTCCCAAAGTGCTGTGATTACAGGTGTGAGCCACCATGCCCAGCCAGCATGAACATTTTCTAACCCTTCGCTGACCACTGTGAGTTGGGCAGAGCTCCAACAGATTGGAGAATGTGAATATCCTGAAGGCATGAATATCCTCCAGCAACTAGAACAGTGGCCAGCACAAGTGCTCAAAAATGAAGGAAAGACTGAATGAATGCATGATGGGCAATGGAAATTGATAAGCAGTGCCACAGTCCAGTTCTGGGTGGGTCGCGAGGGGGCCCAGAGTGCAGATGGAGAGAGAGTTTATCGTTGAGGAGGGCAATCCCCCTTCTGGCACTGTGAGCGGCAAGTGGACGTAAGTGTGGCTGCCCTTGGAGAAGGGCAGGCTCAGAAGTACCTAGGTGCTTTTTCAGAAGGTATGTTCCTGGATTCTCCTGAAGATACTCCTAATCCCCATCATGGTGGCTAAGATCTGGAATTGGCATTTTAAACAAACTCTTTAGGTGATTTTTGAGGCATGCCACTGGTACAAGGAGGCAAGAAGAGGTTGGAAATTAGATGGTCTCATGCCAAAGAGGTTCCTGCATCAACCCCCTCAGACTTCCTCATCTGGGATCACTCTCCCTGCTCCCATTGCCACAGCCCTTGTTCATATTTCCCTTGAGGCACCTCCTGCAGCTGAGCCTTTGTTAGAAGTTTTGCCTGCATGTCCTTCTTCTGAAGGATGCTGTGAGCTTGTGCAGGGCCCGGACGATGGCTTATCCTTTTTGTATTATTCACAGCACCTAATATCTGTTGTGAAATTACTTAAAGGAAATATTCCCTAGCCTGAATTTTGACAATACAGAGTCCCTCCCATTATCTCAAGGAGTCTGAAAACAAAATTACACCATCATTTCACTTTAAAGAATTCCATACTCACAAAACACAGCCAATCAAAATATGATTAAATGTTCAACCTTATAATTTTTGCTTGTCAAATTGACTAGAATAAAAATAAAAGGTTGAAGAGGGCATGGATAAATTGGAACTATCAGAAGGACTGTAAATTCATACAAATTGTCTTGAATGCACTTTGGCAAGATATGTCAAGAGCTTTAAAAAGAATTATATGCTTTGACCCAGTAATTCTACTTTATGAAATTTTCATAAGGAAACAATCAGGGTCATTGCTATTGGTAAACAGTCTAAATTTAGCAAAAGGGGGAGTGGTTAAATAAATTAGTGAATAGAAAAACATGCTTTTTATTATATATACACTGAATAAGGATTTAGAAAAATGCTAACATCACAGTATGTGGAAATGATATGATATAGAGCATATATAATATAATTCCTATTTTATAACAAGAAGTATACATCTCTGAGTGGTGGAATATTTTCCTTACTTAAGTACCTACCTAATATATGAGGTATGCTTTCTCTATATTTTCCAAATTTTCTGCAGTTAACATGCATTGCTATAATAATAAAACAGCTAATAAAATATATGTACAATTTAAATGCATCCAGCAATGAACTGCTTTTAACAGTGCCACCCCTCCAACTTCCCATGGAATTATTCCCGTACTGTGGTTCTAACATCTTTGCCTAGCATATTACTCCCCTGCTCAGAATTCCTCAATGGCCCCCCATACCTAAAGGATAAACCATACACTCCTTAGCAAGGCATACTAGGGCCCTTTATGATTTGTCCTTGAGCCACCTGTCCAGACTAACTCCTGGCTACTCCTTCCAATTTCCCTCCTTATACACATCAGAGATACCATCTAGAGTTCCTTGGTCATACCTTGCTGTCTGTCTGCCTGACTTTGCATGGCCTGATTCCTTTGCCTAGAATTCCTCTCCTCCTTCATGACTTCTTCATTCAGCTTTCAAGCCATTTTCCTAAAATTTGACTCTCAAAACTTTAAAAAGATTTAAGCATTGCTCGGTGCACTCATTGCACCTTTTAAAATGTGATACAACTGTTCATTTCCCTATCTGTTTTTCATAAGACTGGAAGCTGTTTGAAGGCTGGAATTAACTTTGTGATTGGCACATGGAAGGCCACCAGTAAAATATGTGCTGAATAAAAGAATTAGCACACAAATTACCCAGATCTTTGCAAATGCTGTGTGGGTTATGCTTTGTATTATAAACGGGACCCCTGTGATCAGCAGGTGGTGGCGGACATCCAGCCAGCCCTCCTCTCACCAAACCAGGCTTGCTGAAAGGCCAGGAAAGCAAGCAGTGCTAGTTCACTAGTTCAGAAAAAAGTGTCTGGTGTCATGGGAAGTGCTATGAACTTACTGTGCCAGAACCAAAGGAGGAATGAGCTGGAGATACTACAAAACTGTGGTTTATCAGCTCAAGCAATGTGTGTGTGTGTGTGTGTGTGTGTGTGTGTGTGTGTGTATGTGTGTGTGTGTGTGTGTGGGGTATGGTGTGTTCAATTATGGAGCAAAGCACATCTGTTTTGATAAAGAAATCCTAGGCTTCGCAGTCACTTCAGGTCCTAACCCCACTCTCAAAATCACCCCTAGGTTCTAAGTGTTTCTGGAGAATATCTTAAGTTAATTTCTGACCATTCACATTTTTATTTTCCCTGACTTGGTTTACTGTTGTATTTGACAAGTTTGTGAAAAGTGGTCAGTATTCTAAATGTGAGATGTTTTCTGCATGGGGAATGCTATGAGTAAACTTGTAAAACCTCACGCAAATTTCTGAGGCCAAATGTGTGTGAGCAGAGTCTTTGGCACAGTGCAACTGGAAATTTTAAGACAATGGGAAACACTTTCTTACTACTACTACTGGAAAAAGCTTCCAGGTCTCGCTCTTTAGTTTAGACAGATAGCTTTAAGCAGGTTAAAGTTAATTGTCAGCTCCTTGACTGCAGGGATTGTGTCCTGAAGAGCTTGAAGGAAGAGAGCAAACTTTGGATTTGGAGTCAGAATGACTGGGTTCCATTGCGAGGTACTGTCATTAATAACTGCAGGCACTGGGCAAGTCACTTAACCTCTTTGAGGCTCTTTCCTCATTTTCTACATGAGCATAGTAAGCCTTAAATCTGCCATACAAGGTTGTTGGTGGGATCAAAATTTGACATACTGTGAAAGTATTTTGGACTCTAAAAACCATCTTCCAAATGTGTGTTATTTATCATTCTTAAATTCTTTTTAGGGGTTCCAGCAAAGAGCATTGCCTGTTTGAGAAAATGTCATGTTCCAGAAAATATTGATTCAAAAAAGACTGATGGACCATCTGAATGAATATGGAAGAAGTTTAATTTTAACAAATGCACTCGTGGTATGCAGAAATTGCTTCCAGTGACTTGCATCATTACTCTTAGCCTTAGACTTTGCTAACCGCTTCCTCACTCTCCCCGAATGCATGTACATCCCCTCAGGATCCAGCTTTTATCTCTGATAAATAAATGCATACTGAAAGGATAACGAATATAATGGGTTAACATTCTAAAAATGCAGTTTCATTTCATTTAAACCATGGTTTTATGGACACTGTGCCTGAATTCAACAGGCGGGTGTGGGGGCTATTTTTGGACAGGCAGAACTTCCAGCACCTCTTAAATCACATCACACGGCAACTGCCTTCTCCACCTACACACAGGGCGGGCCTGCATGCATAAAACAGGATGCTGGCCCAGGGTGAAACGGAGAAACTCTTTTCCCCATCTGATGACTAATACTTGTCTCTGCTTTCAGAAAGGGAAAGCACCACATACAAACCTCACCAATGCATTTTCCTTTGCTTGTTTTAAAGAAAGGGGTAAAGTGTGTGTGTGTGTATGTGTGTGTGTGTGTGTGTGTGTGTGTGTGTTTTTAATGATGGAGGAATCATGAAATGAACCTCCATAGGAAAGCCCTGACAATGTTCTGTGGATGCTTTTGCATAGGGAATTGAAACAAGTTGGCAGGAAGAAGAATTCTTTCTGCATAACTCAAAGCAGACATTTTACTGGGGGAAAGAGCAAATCAGAAATTTGCTGTCATTCCTCAAAATCTCATTAGTTACGAAATGTAATATATTAGGCCTTTGCATTAAATCCAGATAGAGCCTGTATCTTTTTTTCCCTCAATGATATTCCTAAAATGGATCTTTGAGCATGCAACAAGAGTAGCTCTTCACAAAAGATGTAGGTCTTGGCAGTGGTGGCCTGTGACTATGTGACATGTTATTAGACTGTTCTGGCTTCTCTGCAACTCCAGGGATAAATGAAACAATAATAATTCAAAATAATGAAAATAATTTGGTGATTCATTTGATAATGAGGATAATCTCTAACTAAGGATTGCCTGATGAATGAGTAAGCCCAGATAGAATGTCTTTCCATATGAATTTCTGATAAAGGCTCATGAGGACAATGATAAGCTTGTTAGTGTAAGAGTGTTTCATGGGTACCAGGTACTATGCAGGGCATCCTGTTGGCCTAGCTCACCATTAGAGTTCTGCAGATTTCAAATGGTATGAGCACTGTGATCCAAATATGTATGAAGTTAAAATATAAACTTTTAAAGGAAGGCATTTATTGAACAATTTCAGTTTTTCTGAGTAAGAGTTTGTGTAGGATTTGTTTCCTGTGTTTCAAACTACTAAATCCGTAATTATTTTTAAAGTATTTATTGAAGCAATATAGAAATCATATTTCAATTACCTTGCAGAGTGATTTTTTTGGCCAATCATGTTTGTGAAATAGAAGAGTAAATTATTTTAATGTATAAATATATCTGAAATTCATTCATTCAAATTAATATTGAGTGCCTATAATATGCACAGTACCTTTTCAATATATAAATGAATTTCTATCCAATAGTCAATCCTCCCAGCCTATACCCATGTTTACTTTGGTATTTCTTCTTCCTTTTCTTGCAGCTGAAGATGGAGGAGAAAGAATTTCAGAAATAGAGGTCACATTAAAAACATGCAGAAGCATGAAAATTGTTACCATATTTCAATTGCAACTGTATTTTCTCCCCCTCTAAGGAAACAAGGCCTTCTGTATTTTTGTTGCATCTTTGACTATTTGGGTAAGTGTTCTGTCTCTCCCTCCTTCTCCTTTCCAATATACTCTGTCTGGGGATCATGACCCTTTTGGCTGGAAGTTGTGAACAATAAGTGAGGTCAGCCACAGAGCTCAATGAAGAACAGACTCAATTATAACCACGGCTTAAATATACAGCTTTTATATCTGGCTTCTTATGATAAAATGTCACAAAATAATAGGAAACAAATACGTTGTTTGCAAAATTATTGACTATGCGCTCTTGAGGGCAGAGACCATGTCTAACTCAATCTTGTGCCCATTACCCAGCAGATAATAGAAACCCAGCAAATGTCTGCTGGGTGAGGAAAGACTGGGGATGAGTGAACACTGTATCATTTAGCCCAGGATTAAGTGAGAGGCTGAGAGAGGAAATGTAATAGAGAATAGGTTTCAAGGTTTCTAAGGCAGTGTTTTTTCAAAAATGTTGACCTATATTTATAGAAGAAAAATTATTTACATCACAAACCACACATATACACACATATACACACATATACACACATGCTAGTTGAAACCAACCAAATTTCTTTGTGAACCACTGGGATGCCACCCACATATACAAACCATTGTAGAAAATGTGGAACCAATAAAGGGAAAATGGAAAGGACCAAAATTGCTGGTACCCAGGAAAGCACCAGCAATTACTACTGAATTACTACCGTTAAAATGGCTCATTATTTACTTCTTATAGTCTTTAATGGTATTTTGTTATTAGTTCTTAGTAAGTTAATTCTTTCAGACAACAAACGCTTCTACAATACTTACTATGTATCAGCACTGAGTTAGGCACATAAGGATACAAAAAATGAAAAATACACTAAAAATATCTTTCTTCCTGATATCTCTTCTTAGATACCCCTCAGACATATGTGACTTAAACTATCTCAAACTATACTTTCAGACTTCCCCCAAATTTAGACTTCCTTTAATTTTCTCTGTAATAGAAGATATTTTTAATATTTGTAAGCCATATATTTGATAGGGGTTACTATCCAAAATATATAAAAGGCCCAGACAACTCAATAACAAGAAAACAAAAAAGTCAATTAAAAAATGGACAAGAAAAAAAATTTAAAAAAAATGGGCAAGAGACCTGGGGTGGATAGACATTTCTCAAAAGAAGACATGCAGATAGACAACAGATATATGAACAATGCTCAACATTGCTAATTATTAGGGAAATGCAAATTAAAACCATAATGTGGTATCATCTCACACCTGTCAGATAATTTTTTTCAAAAAGATGAAAGATAACAAGTGTCAGCCAGGATGTGGAGAAAAGGGAACCCTTGTACATTATTGGCAAGAATATAAGTTACGACAGCCCATTATGGAAAACACTATGGAGGGTCCTCAAAAAACTGTAAATAGAATTACTATATGATCCAGCAATCTCACTTCTGGGTATTTACCCAAAAGATTTGAAATCAACTTGTTAAAGAGGTGTCTGCACCTCCATGTTCATTGTAGTACTATTCACAATAGCCAAGGTATGGAATCAATCTAAGCGTTCATCAACATATGGATAGATAAAGAAATATGGTATATACATTAAATGGAATACTATTCAGCCTTAAAAAAGAAGGAAACTCTCATTTGTGATGGAATCAGAAAACATTATGCTAAGTGAAATGAGTTGGGCATATAAAGACAAATATTGCATGCACTCACATGGGGAATCTAAAAATCAAACTCATAGAAGCAGAAAGTAGAATGGTGGTTACAGAGACTGGGGGGTGGGGGGAATGGAAAGATGATGGTTGCTATTGTTTGAATGTCTCCTCCAAAACTCATGCTGAAACTTAATCCCCATTGTGGCAGTATGATAGGTGGGACCTTTAAGAAGTGACCAGATAGGGCTTTGCATTCATGGATTACTGGGTTAATAGATTAATAGATGATCACAGGAGGGGAACTTGTAGCTTTATAAAAAGAGGAGGAGGGACCTGAGCTGGCATATTAGCATATTCGCCCCCTTGCCGTGTGATTTCCTGTGCTACCTCAGGACTCCGCATGGAGTCGCACCAGGAAGAAGGCTCCCACCAGATGGGTGCCCTTGACCTGAGACTTCTCAGCCTCCTTAACTATAAAAAATAAATTCCTTTTCTTTATAAATTACCCAATTTCAGGTATTGTTATAAGCAACAGAATACAGACTAAGACAATAGTCAAAAGGTAGAAAATCTCAGTTTAAAAGGAAAAATACATTTTTTCTTTTTTTAAATTTGCACAGTGTAGTGACTATAGTTAATAATAGAGAATTGTACATTTCAAAATTGTTAAATTTCAAATGTTCTCACCACAAAAAATGTTAAATGTTTGAGGTAATGGATATGTTAACTAGCTTGATTTAATTATTCCACATTGTATTCATAAATTATAACACCACTTTTTACCCCATAAATGTATTCAATTATAAATGTCAATTTACAATAAAAAGGAATGAAACTATAAAACATAAAGAAAGAAAAAAAGGATATTTTTATTCAGTCTCTCAGGCCAGAACTATGGGATTCACTCTTGATAGCTTCTTCTTCACCCCTCACATCTCACAAGGGCACCGATCTGCCAAATTCTTCCTTCTAAATATTCTCCTTGAATCTGTGTGCTCTCCCCATTGCCACCTGGATACCCCCAGTGGCCTCCTAACTGGTCTCATTTCCATGTTTGCCTGCCTTCATCCTAATTTATTCTTCACTTGGCAGCCAGAAAATATTTTTTAAAAGAACTTAATTGTGTCATTCTCCTCTTTAAAGTCTTAATGGCTTTCTAATTTCCTATGAAATAAAACGGCAAACTCCTTTTTAACAAGGACTCACCAGCCAGCAGATGTGGCCTCTTTGGGCTTCTCCTGTCTCCCACTCTCAGTGCTACAGGCACCCGGGCCTTCTTTATTCCTGCCTTAGGGTTTTTGCACCCTCTGCCTGAATATTTTCCCTTGCTCTTTTCAGTTGGATCTTCTTTTCCTTTCATTCATCTCCAAACACTCAGCCTACAGTGTTTTCCTCAGTAATTCTCTCTGATTTAAAGCAATGAAACTAACTCAAAATTGTGTATATATTTGTTTGCTTGTTTTGAGTTTTGCTTAATGTCCGTCTCCCCCATTCAAATGTAAATTATATGAGGCCAGGCAGTTATAACTATTTTGTTCACCAAGGTCAATCCAATCATAGATTTTGTACATAATAGACCTTTGAATATTTATGGAATGCATGAAAATGAAACATTTCCTAAACCTTAGTCATTGACTATCATTTGATGATTTAGCCAAAGCTATGTACCACCTGTACTATAAACCTAATCATTTTCTCTAAGCTGACTGTAAATCAAGTTTTAAAAAAATAAGGTAGCTCTGTCCGAAGCACAGTGTTGGGGGAGTTGCAAGTTAGTCTAATTTTATTTTTTAATGCACATTAAAATAAATGTCTAGGTAATAAAGCAAATCTTTATCCATTATATACAATTTTCTTGTGGTAAATAAATGAGCAAGAACTTTTTAATGAATGAGAACTCCCTTCTGCCAGGTGTAGAGCAAGCTCTAGACTATTAGAAGAACTGACGCTGATTCCATTGGTGACTGTGAACAAATCATTTAAGTTTTTGGGCTTCCATTTCTTCATTTGCACTATGGAGATTAATTTTAACTGTTCTGCCCAGTTCACGTGAAGATTTAATAAGCAGTGTGAAAATCATCTTTTTACATAAACATGAAATTTTATTTTTAAAATTATTTATTTTAGAAATGGTTACTACTGCTGTTTGTTTCTTAAGGTGTTCCGTCATATTGACCCCTTACATGACATAACAAAGAAGAATAATGTATATTAGTCTCCATCACGGCCATGAGGACTAGTATAATGGGACACTGCAAATATCCTTTGACCACTGATTAACTTCTTTTCTTCCCTTACTTGCTTAATTAAATGTCTACTTAACTTTCAGTAATCATACTCCACTTAGAGAAAAACCTCCTCACAATGTGAACACCCACGTTCATAGCAGAGCTAAGAGGTGGAAGCAACCCACGTGTCCACTAATGGATAAATGCATAAGATAAATGTGGTATATACATATTGGAATATTATTCAGCTTTAATAAAGAAGGAAGTTCTGACACATGGTACAACATGAATGAACCTTGAAGACATTATGCCAAACCAGGCACAACAAGACAAATACTATATGATTCCATTTATATGAGGTATCCAGAGTCGTCAAATTCGTAGAAACAGAAAATCGAACAGTGGTCATCAGGGGCCAGGGTGCAGGAGAAATCAGCAGTTGTCATTTAATGGATATAGAGCTTCAGTTTTGCAAGATGAAAAAGTTGTGAACGTTGGTTGCACAACAAAGTGAATATATTTAACACTACTGAATTATACACTTAGACATGGTTAAAATGGCAATTTTATGTTACATATTTTTACCATAATAAAAAAAATTTAAAGCCTGCTCATAAATGGGTTTCTAGTATTTTCATGTTCTGATGTTGAATATTGCTGAGAATAGAAATTTTAAAAATAATAGTAATAGTAATAGCTAAACTTTATGGACACTTAAGTCTGTGCCAGGTAATAAGTATTTTATATTTACTATCCCATGTAATCACCACTACAGCTTTATAAGATAGATACTATCATTTACGAGGATTTTACAAAGAGAAAACAGAGGTACAGCAGGGTTATGTAACTCGTGCAAGATTACACAGCTAGCAAGCAGTGGAACCAGGACATGATCCCAGGCAGTCTGGTTTGGTTCCATACTTTTAACCACTAGGTATATCGCTCACCAAACTAGTGGTAGGTACTCTGGAGATGAATTTACCTCTAATTAGTTTTAATTAGTGAGATTTTAGAAAGGTCTCTCCACACTTTGATCTCTGCTGAATATGTATTAACTTCCCTCTTATTTTCCATCTTTCTTTCTTTCATCCTCCAAAGAAAAGACATGGTCACTTAACCATATAAATCTTAACCATAAGAATTAAAAAACCCTGTTGACCCAAACATGTGGGCAAAAGCCACTCATCGAAGTGGCTTAAAAGCTCCAACTGAAATTATTTGATCTCTTCATCATCTGCAGATATACCTTCATGTTTTTGCCTGAGTAGAAGGAAAAGTAATAAACATATCATAGAACTACTGAGAGATTTAAAGCTTAATTCTAAGTAACTAGCAGTAGCTTATATTGAAGACATATTAAACCACAACAGTCACTTCCAGAATTTAAACTATTTATTCTCAGCTTGTGTGTGATGCAAGTAGAAAAAACAGACTTCTGAATCAACAAGTTACCTAACCAGTCTGATTCAAATTTCATCATTCATAGGTATCTGAAAGGTTGTTAAGATGGTTAAGTTAGCCAGGTGCAGTGGTTTACACCTATAATCCCAGTAATTGGGCTGGCAGGGGCGGGAGGATAGCTTGAACCCCAGGAGTTCAAGACTTACCCAGGCAACATAGCACGCTCCTGTTCCCCACAAAAAGAAAAAAGCCAGCCAAAAAAAAAGAGATTAGGTTAGTTGATATATATGAACTACCCAGCACACAAGACTTGGAATACATGTGTTCAATAAGTGGTAACTTTTATTATCACCATATGTAATTATTGATTTTTCACAGTTTTAAATACAGAAACAGAATGATACAATCTTCTTGATTCCTTCCCCAGCACCCCTCCAATCCTGGTGTCTGTAGAGTATAGGGTGTTAAGAGGTTTCAGAAACCACCCCAGCCCAGACCTGGAGGAGAAGCTGTGATGACTTCTCTTCATTAGCTGAACCTCACTTTATTCTTGTGGCTGGCCCTCCACTGAGGTCTGTCTTGGAACTCCTGATGAGATTCCTGCCTTGCCCACTGCCTGCAGGTCCTAGCCAGCAACCCAGTCCTTGTGTGGCATGGGCTTCCTGCTGCTGGATCCCCGGCTCCACTGCATCACCACCACACCTCCCCAGTGTCTACCTCCCCTCTCCTGGACTGCTAACTATTTGCCACATGGGCTTGGCCAGCTGCCTGACCCCCAGGGTGGAAGAGAGCTGGGGCATGATTTGAATTGTTTTTGAATGCCTTTACTTGAGTTCTGCTTTTCTTTGAAAATAGAACTCCAGGTTTCTGATCTGGGAGGCAAACGTATTCACACCCTGGGAGCCCATTCCTAAAGCAATGGAGCCCTGACCTTCTGCCCCTCAGTGACTAGCTTGAACTTGACTTTCTCTGCTGAGCTGCTTTGGTGCCCTCCAGAAATGTGGGGGCCCAGGGCTGTTAACACATCTGACTGCTCTTTTCCCCATCTTGACAAAAGTCATTCATTTGTAACTCTTCATAGCCCTTTGTAACCGTTTCTAGCATTACTATTTCTCCTCTTCTTTCCTTCTTCGGGTAAGAAATGCCTCCAAAACCCAGATTTTGGCACAAGAACTCCTAGATTGTTTTTATAGTCCCAACGTAGCACTTCTTTGTTACAGCTTGATATTCCCAAATTTTGTTCCAAGTCTCATTATTTTACATTTATAAATATCAGGTTGTATTAATTGGTTCCAGCTTTAAAAAATGTTCCATCAGGGGTTATTTCTGCTATTTTGATAGTGGTTTCTAAATGTGGAGTGCCGAGGCCCTGGTGTGGGCCACGTTCTGTAGGCATCCCTGAAGGACTGATGTGGAACGGAAAGATCCGCAGATTCTGAGTCTTGCTGTATTCTTTGAAGACTGTACTGGCCATAATAGCTTCAAAGAATTTCAACAAGTTCCTAAGACATGACCTTCCCTTTCCGAAAATCACGTTGGCCAGGCTTGCCTTAATCAAGCTGTGCTTTTCTAAGCATCCTTTTACTTGATCTCCTGCAGCAGTTTTTAATACTTTTCCTACAAGTGAAGTTAAACTAACTGGCCTGCAATTTCCTGGTGTGTCCCTAAGCTCTATGAAATAACGGCATTAGGTTGGCTAGCTTCCAATTCTTCCAGAATTTTTTTGTTTTGTTTTAAAGCGCGGGATTGAAAAGGCCAGAGAATGCTTCCTGTCTCCCTTTTCCTTCGTTTCTTCCATGACATACTGCTCTCTCTGTTCCCAGTAGAGCTGCCATTTTAATAACTTCAAACCTCTTAAATGTTTTCACATATTATTTGTACCTATCTCTGAAGCATGAGTTTTCCATTTTTCATTCTGACAAGGGCCACCCCCAATATAAGGGCTTACAATTCTATTAAATTGACTATTAATTCAAGGCACTGTTTAAAAAATGAGTTTCATATCAGGAATCTGAAAAAGAGTGGCAAAATAGATTATAATTAAGCCTGTGTTCTCACTTGTCAATTACTAATAAATACATGTTGGAAAAGACCTGAGAAAAATTTCTATACATCCAGGAAACAGAAGTCAAAAAATGGAACTATTACATCTGGGCATACTAATCTGAGGCACTAGCATAGTGTCTTAAAGTATGGTGAAATGCATTAGATCTGAAGATCTAATTTGCATTCTACATTTTATTAAACTGCATTTGGTCCATTATTTTTAAATCTAATATCAGAAAAATCTTTCCACATTTGATGGTCTCCCGGTTGCAATAGAAAGGCCCGTAGAAATATTTTAAGATATATTTGTTAAAAAGTTATTTTAAAAATTATTTTCTTAAAAATATGAGAATTTTTTTACTGACAGGAGTAAAAAAAAAATTAATAATTATTTGCATTTACAAAATTGCACCATATCACATAATGTTTAGGATAGTTCAAGTTCTTTATTGTACAGAAACTTGGAAAATTGTTTTGAAATAAGTGAGTCATCAACTAGAGCATAAGAACTTTTATTCTTTATAGACAATTTTTGTTTCAGTAAGCTTTTCATTTTTTTTATTTTTCATTTTGTGATGACCTAATGCGTCTTTTATAAATAAGTCACAGGCACATAAATCACGGCCCATTTGTGTGGATGAAGGCTCATTTCCTGGTTGGTAGGCATGGTGACCACCATCATGAAATGAAAAGAAACATGAAGTGGAATTTAAAAACTTTTAGGATGGTTGGTTCTGATTTCAGATAAATTGGATAAGTAAACCCCTATCAACTAGTAGCTTTTTCTGATTTACCAAAGTGATAATGTCAAACCTAAAATTTGCACATTTATCCCATAAAGTTCACTTACTGTGTATCAGATTTAGTCACAACTGGGAGAATCTTGGCATCTATGGTACACGTAGAACTCTCTCATCGAGAACATTTCAGTTGGTTTTGAATGACTACTGATATTTTCCTTTTTAATTTTGGTCAGGACTGACTATACCTGTAAATGAACAGGTCAGATTTTCTATGTGGGCCATAAAGCATACATACACAGAAAATTATTTGTGCATAGGTAGCAAGTATACTTAAGTTCAGGCATGAATCTAAACCATGTACTTTTTCCAGTGTTTGAAATGTTTCCTCATAGATTTCCATCTTTAGGATTTTAAAGTTGCCATCAAAATATGTACGGAATTCATCTTTCCTATTTAGCATATATTATACCATATAACTACAAATGTAGTACACATTAATTCGGTCTTCTCTCATTCCTATGGCCTTGCTTGAGCTATTCCCTTTTCTTAGAATGCCCTCTTCCACATTTGAAAGTCAAGATCTACCTATCCAAGGGGTAGACCAGTGAAAGATTACTTGGTTGGTGATAAAGTAGAAAAACTTGGTGCTATAGGTTTACCTTTGGTTAAATCCAAATTCTTCATTTTGCTAGTGAGCAGACTTCCTACCTTCTCTATGCCTCCATTTCCCCGTGCACACAATGGAGATTTTATCTTTCCTTTTAGAATTGTGATGTGGGCTAACTGATGTAATATATGTAAAAGATCAAAACTATCAGGACCTTTCCTTTCAAATGGCAATGTTTCCACAAAAATGTCTCTGGGTCTCACCCCTCCCTGCCAACTACCCCAGCTAATGATAATCTCATCTTCCTTTGAATTCTTATACACTTTACCTGTCTCTCAAGAACTTCACTATTTTCTGCATTGTGTTATTCACTTACGCAGCAACTATTATTGAATGCCTACCACGCGCCAGGCTTATGTCCATATACATTTTGTCCTTTTTTCTCTCTAGCTTGTTCTTAAGCTTCCTGAGGTTAGAGTCTTTGCTTCTTGAGGTTAGAGTCTTTATAATATTAATATTCCTTCCTCTCTCTTCATCGTCTGATAGTGCCTGGCACTAGTGCTTTAACGAGTATGTTTGTTAATATTCGGTAAAACCGGCTACTATATAATGCAGGCAATAAGCGTATATTTTCAAATGTGTCCATATCCTCAAGTAGGATTCACATGTGGGAAATGGTGCTTATATGCCAGTGCATGGGTTCATCTTCATCCTCATTATTAAATAATAATGAGATGATAAAGCAGTAGCCAACATTCCTGAGAATATACACAAATAATAATATTCTGTTCTCATTCCCACATGAGTTCTTGAAACAGTTCCTAGTAGAGCAAAACATGCTTTCCAAAAAGAGAATGTGAATGAACAAATGAGCTGCAGCTACGTCTCTACAGAATTACATTAGCACAAATCTAAGCAGCTTTTCAAAGAACTATGGTTTATAAATAAAGACTTTCATATATACAATGCCATGGCTAGATGAAATTCTAAGGTTTCAGGGGAAATTACACAATCTCATAATGAGGCTGTGTGTACACAACACCATGCCATCCAAATGAAAACTTGAGCAAATCACTTAGGAATGTGGTCTTTGCTAGCCCAGACATTTGGAGTCATTATTGGAAATATGCAATGTGGCTCTGACACTATTTTACTACTCATGGATGAAGTATACTATACAGAAGTCTCACTTTAGTTTGCTGCTTCTAATCAACCACAGGCTAGGAAACCAGAAAGCCTAATTGATTAAAATTGTGTTTAAAATAAGAATAACTAGGCTTTGATTTAAAGCTAACGAGAGTACCCTACAAGTAGAAGTAAATACAGGTGTTTAAATGCATGGCTGTTATATCGTGAGTTCCTTATCTCCAAAATGGAGGTTTCTAAAAAGTTACCATGTAACAAAAGGAATTTGTTAGATTATCTTTTATCTCTTCTCCCACAGTGCAGAGTTTCCTTTGAGAAATGGGATGTTGCAAGACTTTCGCTCCTCAGGAGTTTACCACTATCAAGTGTCCTAGTGTGTCTGGAGTTGATTCCTTCCAGTGGGTTCCTCGTCTCACTGACTTCAAAGAATGAAGCCACTGACTTCGTGGTGTTACAGCTCTTAAAGTTGGTGCAGATCCAAACACTGAGCAACAGCAAGAGTTGTCACAAAGAGCGAAAAAACAAATCCTCCACACTCGGCAAGGGTACACGAACCTGCTGCAAGGTGCTAGCTCAGGTGGCCAGCTTTTATTCCCTTATTTGGCCCTGCCCACATCCTGCTGATTGGTCCACTTTACAGAGCGCTGATTGGTCCATTTTACAGACTGCTGATTGGTCCATTTTACAGAGTGCTGATTGGCCCATTTTTACAGAATGCTGATTGATGCATTTACAATCCTCTAGCTAGACACAGAGCACTGATTGGTGCATTTACAATCCTCTAGCTAGACAGAAAAGTTCTCCAAGTCCCCACCCGACCCAGAAGCCTAGGCAGCTTCACCTCTCACTAGTTGGTACAACCATGCAAGATTCTAAACAGAAATAGATTCATGAGCACACTGTCCACATGTCTCAAAGGTCCAGAAGTCCCAAGAGACTTTCTGGGCCTATTCCATGGCCACCACTCGCAACTACCATGCAGCTCTGCAGGGGTTGCCAGTGACTTTTCAATTGTCTTGGGATGAGAGGTACTAGGTAGCAGAGTGCTTGAGCAGGTCCTAAATGTGAAGGGACTGAGATGGGAAATATTCCCCTCTTCTCCAGATGTGCAACCTGTCCTTGGCTGATGCTGACAAGGAGCCTGAATTTGTTTTATGGTCTTTATTAGTTTTGCTTCAGCGACTGGCATTAATGAATGTCTGGTGCACCTCAGGTTCAGTCTCCATGGCACTCCACCCACCTTCTCTTTTCTTCTGGAACCATTCAGAAGAGTGTATGTGAGCGAGTGTGGGAGGCTTATTGCCCAAATGCTCCACTGGAAGAATGTGGTAGAGCCAGATGTGAAATGGACCCCCTGAGTGAAGAATATGCAACCAAGAGTCTCAGCACATATTGGAGAGGAATGGCTTTCTAACTTAACTCTGGGTTTGTAATCTTGTGCTATCCCACATCCAAGTCAGAATGCCTGTCCAGACTAGACATCAAAACTAGGCTGCTATCATTTCTGATTTTTACTGAGTATCTGTGAAGAAGAAAGAATCTTTTGGGGGGTTAATTGATCCCAGGCCTGAGAATTGGATGTGGATTTCTATAGCCACTCACAAGAAAAATTCCAGTATTTTAAATCCACGTATCACATAATGTTTCAAGTGGAGCACACACATTCGGAACATTATAAAAAAGAGACAAAGTATATTATTTGACTGCAAAAGCACAGATAACTTTGGCATGATGGTGAGCGCCGCGTAGCAAGAGTTAATGCTATAAAATTCACAGCACTGTCTATTGTGAATAAATCCAATGAAACTTGTTCAGATAGTACTCAAGCAATACTAAATAGACCGTATGTAATCACCCAAGACCTGAGACACATAAAAACTTTATTAGTCATCACTGAAATAAAGTGCAAACAAGTTCGTCTTAGAAAGATTCAAAACTCTTTATGTTTTAGGTCGGCTGCTCCATAAAACAGTGCCTGACAAATTTTAAGTGATATTCTAATTAATCACTGGATTTTTATAGTTTCTTGAAAGCTGTAAGTTAGATATTAACAAGGCAGGGTGAGAAGAAATCCCCTTATACGGAGAATGAGTCCTACGTCCTTTGCACAAGCCCACTGGGTCAGCCAAGCCAGATTTTATACTAAGCAGCTGTTGGAAATGGAACGGACCATTAATCCGAAGAGTATCATTATTTTCATATCGATTAAAGTGGGATATAAACCGTGCACCAAGTTCACAAACTGATGGAAAATCACTGCAGCTGTACCTCTGTCTTATACAAGAAACACTTTCTGGCGCATTTTTACATTGTTTTTTTCGAGAAACTAACACTTTGTAATATACTGATCATATGACTCTCCTTAATGCTGTCACATACTCAGCAATTATCATGAGAAAGTATGACCCAATACTTTGTGTCTATAGAAGTTTCTGATTTATATTTTTCAATTATTTCAATTAGATGCAATGATGGTATAAACGATCTAGGAAATTGTATTTGTAAAGGGAAATTTTGAAATTTTAAAATTTTAAAAGGAGGCAGATTTTTTTTGTGTGTGTTCACCATCAGGAACAAATATCTCCAATGAGGAGCAGGCATTTATTTTCAAAGAATGAAATTTAAAAATGGCTATCAAATTATTACTTCAATTCTTTTTTCTAAAAACACAAAAATATCTTCTATAAACACTTTCACTTACCTCATAATATAAAGGAGCATTACCACCTACAGGTTTTTTTGCCTTTTTAGATGAAGCAGATCCAACAAGTGTATTTATTTCATTAATCTGTAAGAAAATTAAATTTACTTATGATGAAAAAAGCCTTATTTGAAGAATACTTAGATATATGTAACTTTCAAATATCTAGGTGATCTGAAGGGTTGGGGAACCTAGCAAGAAAGAGGTACCCATGAATTAGGTAAAATATTTATAGTTACTTCGTAAGCTGTCAGTAATTGTATGGGTATGTGCCACCTGGCAGATCTTTTCTATATTATTGCTGTCCTCTGACCTCTGACAGCTATGATTCTCTGTAGCCTTCATTTTCCAATTAGTCATGTACCTCCCTGGAATCTTAAATAGTCTAGTCTTTTATAATTATTTAACTTGAATTAAATATTTTGTCACAGAACCTAGCATGGTGCCTGGTATGACCTCAGAAATCTTTGTCAAATAAATGAATATTGAATTAACAAAATTAATAAACAAAAATAAATTCTTCCAGATTGAACAACTCAAATTTATTCTGGCTAAATAGTTACTTAAAATAATCCATCAAAATTTACAAAACAGCCCAAGAATATGATAGTTTATTTTATAATTCTATTCTATTATTTTAAGTAAAAAAGTCTTCAGGTGGCTTTGAGGTAGGAAGGGACAGGTACCTGCTGGAGAATGTCTTGCCACGACACCATACTGAAGAGTTTACGCTGAGGGACCTGGACAGCCACGGTAAGGGCTTGGATGAGAAGATCATCTTCAATCTGGTTCCCAACCACAAAAGCAATGGAGGCCTGCCAATCGTTCTATTAAAAATCAGACGGAATTAGATTTTAAATATTCCTGAATAGGTCATTTCGTGTCAAATATTTCCACTGAGAAGCAGAATAATTTTCCTGTAAATCTTACTTGAAAGACAGAGGTGACCTTGTAATGTATGTGGTTTTCTGATTGAAGTAGCCGCAAGGCGGCAGTATTGTGCCAAATTTCATGCAACTTGACCAAAAAACAATTTTCTGGAGAAACTAGTCCTTTTATTTTGAGGAAGACAATTTTTTAAAACGACACTTTCACTAGAATGTTGTCCAAGAATAATCTGGTGTTGGAAAGCAATCATTCATTCCTATGTCACAAATATACATTAAGATGTCTCAAAAAACAGGAATCTTTATTTTGTTCCCTGGTATATCCCAAGACTCTAAATAGTGGTAGGAATATAAAAGCAGCTGAAAAAAACTGTTAAATGTTGGGTCATATTGGATGAGCTGCCAAATGAGAACTGAACCACATCTTTTTCTCTTAATGTAACACAGGAATCTTACTGCTAATTACACTCCCAAGAAATGGGCAAAAATATTACACTTGGACATGAAATTTTGCATCAAATAATTTTAAAAAATTAGTTACTAAAGAATTACATGCAGTACTTTTTTCTCTTTGTTTATTGTAATTGTAATTTCTGTTGGGAGATTAAGAGTGGCGCTCACTGGATTACCTCACATTACCAACTGTGAGATGCTGGGGAAAGCTACTCACGCAAATCAGTATTCCTGCTTTTGAACACTAACAATTTTAGGGAGAGATGAAACAAACAAACACGATAAAGACATCAGAAAAGAGAGGGAATAATAAGGGAGGGCACTCTAGTCATGTGACCTCTCTGGGGCTTAGTTTCCCCATTCATAAAATAAAGGGGTTGGACAGGGCAATATCTAAGCAACTCTCTAGCTCCTCTCTAGAGGTCTGATTCAAATATAGTAAAATGGTCTCCTGGTGAATACCAAAACAATGTCTAAGATTTGAAAAGGTCACACAAATTTAATAAAATGCATCATTTTATTTGGTTCCTCTGGTTTCTGCCCACTTTATAATCAGGTTGACGACAAAACTAGGGTATAGGTGGGAGAAAATACTTTAGTATTAATTCTTTCTTACCATCAAAGAGCAATTGTCCTTAAATCCTTCTTATTTAGCTCCATGGAAGTCTACTAACTACCTAACAAGACTCACCCAATTCTCAAGGCTACCACCAAAACAGAAAACACATGTAAAAGCATAAAAATGTATATTTTACTTGCAAAGTGTGTGTGTGCATGCATGCATGCAGGTAGGTGTGACTTTGTGTGGTTTCCTCTGTTATAATGAGTTGAAAACATTCTTTTGTCTCTAAATTCACCAGGGGAAGACTGACCATTTATTTTTTAAACATTCTGACTTTTAAAAGTAGATATGATATGTATAATGTGTAATGACCTTTCCTGAATTAGATGCCTTTTTTCTCTTGTCTGCTTCCTCAGTCAAAGCTGCAACTGTAGTCATCATTAAAGGGGAAAAATCTCTTTCATTTCACAATAAAGTACACACAGTTACAGTACAGGCAATACCTTGAAGTTCCTGATGACTACACCTTCCAAAACTGAAGATTTTAATAACCACCTTTACCCCCTTATCCCGCTGTCCACTGCAAGTTTCCTTGCCAATATTTGAAAGTTAATGGTGACAAGAAAAGGCTGTCTTTCTGCTCTTTGGGGGGCAACTGAGAAAGAGGGTATTGTAGTCCATTACCCATCTACTTATTAGTATTTGGTGTCAAGGCAGGTGTTGACCATTTCAGACCAGAAAATAAAAGAAGAGAGGAGGGGCAAGAGGGAACTAACAATTATTGTGAATCTGCCATGCGTCAGGCATATGTTATCTCATTGAATCCCTAAGTTACCCTACAAGATAGGTTCACTATTATCTTATAGATGGAAAAACAAAGGTCCAAAAAAGTTAAATGACTTGTTCAAGGTCATTTTGGCAGAACCTCATGGAGACCACAGACATGGCTTACAACTTTGTGATCATTTCAGAACAGTTTTGGGAATAAGTCTTTGGGCTCAGAATGTCTTTCCATAATCCTTAAATTGCACCTAACAGACTATTTGGCCATAATAAAACTATCAGGGAAATATTTATCTCAAATGTATACATGTGTATAGGCCTTCAAAAATAGATTAGGTAGGCTGGGCATGGTGGCTCATGCCTGTAATCTCAGCACTTTGGGAGGCTGACATGGGCAGATCACAAGGTCAGGAGATCGAGACCATTCTGGCTAACATGATGAAACCCCATCTCTACTAAAAGATACAAAAATTTAGCCGGGTGTGGTGGAGGGTGCCTGTAGTCCCAGCTACTTGTGAGGCTGAGGCAGGAGAATGGCATGAACCCAGGAGGCAGTGCAGTGAGCTGAGATCGCACCACTGCACTCCAGCCTGGGTGACAAAGCGAGACTCCGTCTCAAAGAAAAAAGAAAAAGAAAAAAGAAAAAAAAGAGATTAGATATTAAATCCTTAAAACATCATATAATTACTTTTTTAAAAATTATAATTTTACAAAGGATCAAAGAGGTTAAAGAAATTTCCCAAGGTTCTTTCTCTCAAGCGCAAAGCTCTTGTTCCTTCCTTTGCTCCAGGAGACATCTTAACATAAAATTGTTCCTCCAAGTCATGGCACAGTACCGAAACTCACGGGTCCCTGAAGTCACTCTGAGACAGTCTGCCCAGGCGAGAGCACGTTCAGATTTGTTTAGAGCTCTCTAGGAGAGCTGGGTTCCAGGCCACGTCTCCCCATTTCAAGGGGTCTTAAGAGTCGAGCTCTGTCCCAGTTTCCCATCTATGGTCTCTTGCCCACTAAATGTGTGCTTTAAAATTGCATCTATGTGGCAAAACAGGACTCATAACTTTGTCAGAGTTATGGTTTAGTGTCTAATCACATGGCCAGAACCTGAGCAAACATGACAGGGACCAGTCAGACAATAATAACACAAACTGAGAATGCCTACAGAGAAGGATGCACTCATTGTGAGCTGCAGCAGGGGGGCAGTAAGATGCTAGCAAATGTGCAATATTCAACTAATGAAGAACAAGTCATTTCCCCATGTCTAATTGGACAGCATAGTTAAATAAGCAATTCTCTGCAAATACAATTTCTGAGTGTTTCTCTTAGTATTTCAGGGTAACCAGAGATTCCAAACTTCCACCAACTGGCGGCATTTTTAGAAATAAAAAACTTGAAAAAAATCAGACACAGATTAGATTTGGCAAAATACAATCAAAAACACCCCTCCACCCATATCCTATCCCAACATGCAGCTAAATGAAGTCCTTAAATTTAAGTTCACAGGACAGAAAAAGAAATTTAGTATGGAGAAAACAAGGGTAGACCATTGTGGGCAAATGAAAGTATAATGTGTGCAACCCAATTCACCACAGGCTACTAATTACATCCAAACTTCTTAAACTATCTTAAGAAGTTTAAGTTTAAGATAGTTTAAGAAGTTTGGGTGTAATTAGTAGCAAGAGCTGAGAGAAAGAAAAGACTAATAATTTCAGAAAAGCTATACTGGATATATCCAATGGTGAAGGAAGAGGGTCTGGGTCTGTCACACCGAAAGCACCTTAGGAAATCAAGTCGGCTGCTTAGGAAATCAAGTCAGCTGTCTATGACCTGGAGGCATGTATTGTACATGATCATTGCTGAGTCTCACCCCTCCTAGTGATTGATAAAGCCATTCAAAGGATGGAATGAAGTCATGTATGGACACAATCCATTTCCTTTTATTTACTTTACCAGTCTCACCTAATTTGAGGCCTAGCAGGAGGGCTTCTTAACCCAGACACTTACATAGTAGTCTCCTAAGGCAGGAAAGTATTCATGTAAATGCAGAGAAACTGGCTGTCTCATATAAGCCTACTGTCCCAGAGACACAGGGTAAATTTACAACTGTTTTTCTTTCATATATTGCAAATTCTCCAAATTTTACTTAGGCATTTCATATTCTTAAACAATTGCAAAAGCCTTTTCAAAAGTGAAAAGTAGCTTTTGGACAATCGGATTGTAATTGCTTCCCTCTATTAGCACCAGCAACTTGCTGATTTAGGGAAAGACAAGGGCAGGACTTGCAAGCCCTCTTCTGCTGCCTTTGCTAGTATGATAGGGCGCCTGTGTCCCTGAAGGACTCGAGATGAGAGTCTCACAGTCCTATACCCAGAACTGAACAGGGCCTGATAAGCTATATGAACCAGTAGTGGTCAGCGCCCTTATTAGGAGAAGACGTACAAATGCCCCAGGTAAAATCAATGCAACATTCAAAAAGTCTGGTTTTATTAAGAGCTACTTAACACTGTACAGATATGCAAACCTGTACTTTATGTCAATACTCTGCTGAGACGATAACCTTTTTGTTAAGCAGATTTACTGCAAAATGGACAGGGATTTGTGAATGTCTTTCTCATACCAGGTTTTTCCTTCAAAAAAAGTCTTGGATCTCCATCAGCAAGGAGTGTTGGTATGGGCTTTTGGCCAGCAGAAGAAATATTTTTATTACATAGAACTGGCTGCTACAATCATATTTGTGTGACTCTAACTGTAAAATAGGTTGAAAATGTATGTTTAAAATGGGCATACGTTGTTATATAATAAACAAGAATACTATTAACGACCATGCTATGCACTAATCTTTTTATTGTCTTTACTAAACAAGTAGTTATTATGATAGACTCTAATTATATATCTCACACAATTTATTATAAGTGCTATAGTTTCACTTAATTAGATAATACTGTTAAAGTAATCCTTATTTAGGAATTGGACCACATATGTGGCTGTCATGTTTTCTCATCTAGACTGTAAACTCATTAGGTCAGAAATGATGTTTTCTATGCTTTTGCACTTTGTGGTGCCTGGCAGTGAATGGGAAATGGAGCAGGGCTCTATACATAAATATCTGTTGGCTGATATTTCAAAGCAACAGGGAGTACATTTGGATCCTGAGATGGTTTTGACCCTCAAATCATAAAGTGCTAGAATGTAGCATGTCAGGAAACTGCAGGGTATTCAGTCCATGGCCCTGGAGTCCTTTAGGAGGAGAATACACTATATCTGATCTAACATGGTCCATACCAGGGGTCAGTAACAATGGTTTGGGAATTGGGCCTTGAGGCCATTTCTCTGCTTAGACATATTTCCCAGGAGTGACTTAGACATGCAAGCAGATGTCAGGGGAAGGAGGATGCTCCTCCAGATAGGAGAAAAAAGCCAAAGACTCACATCCAAATCTGCATTGCCTATAAAACCATTCCTCCCCTCTCTCTCCTTCCTACTTTCTCCCGTCTCCTATTAGAAGGCATCTTGATGGCCTGCTCCCTCTTCCTTTCTCAACCTACTACCTATAGGCTGCAAATTCTGTGATTTCTTTTTTTTTTTCAGGGTGCCTTAGAAATTCTTATGAGTTTGATTTATGGTGGAAGAATATCAAGGTGGAGTGGGGAGAGAAGGGAGGCAGACTGAAGCAGCACACAGTGTGTGCTGTCATGTTCCATAATCTGGGAGAGGGCTATAACCTGACATCTGCCTCCTGCAGCAACTACTGCTTGATTCACCCTAATCTTTTGACCTCTGTTTAGCGATGTGTTGAAGCCGATTGCTCATGGCTCTTCCCAACTCTCTTCAGTGTGATTGCCTTAATAATTTGAAATATGCTACAGTAGGAGTACTCAAACTAAGGAGATGACAAACACTACAAATCAGAGATGTTCACTTGGAGAAGGTTACTAAACATTTACCAGCATATCACAGCTGCCATCCCAGGAAGAGCTGCATGTCTAAGACTGACTTAGTTATGATTTTCATTGGGAAGACCAAAGCTGTCTCAGAGAAAATATTAAGGAGGGCAAAGCAGATTTATTCCCTCTATTGCATACAAACCCCACCCCCATCCCAAAGACACACTCTGCAGCAATGCGCTATGTGGATCTATAATTAAGAGTCTGCTGATGTTGCTTCAAGTGTGACCTAGCCTTAAGTAATATCCTTCAAAATGGGCTCTATGAAAAGCAGGTGACAAGGCAAGTATAGAGACCACTGACAGGAGCAGGGGCAAACCACTCCAGGGCTCTCCTTTCCTCCTGACCATTTCCCTACTTCCCCACTCAGGCATCTGCACAATGGGGCCAATGATCTGGGAGATCCCTAAGCACCCCCTGCCAACAAATGACTAGATTCCTTCATACTGTGGTGGCCCCTTGAAGAAGCATGGGTCACTGTGGCACAGTAATTAGGAGCCTGGGTTCGATTCACTGAGCCCAGATTCGAATCTCAGTAAACCAGCTGTGTGTCCCTGGGCAAGTTACTTAACTTCTCTGTGCCTCATGCATAAATGAAGATAATGACAGTACCTGTCTATTGGGATTGTTGTGAAGATTGAATGAGAAAACCTATAGAAAGCCCTTCTCAGTACAGCACCTAGCAATAATCCTAGCCATCCTTAAAGATATTATTTTGGGGGGCTTCTGCTCTTGTTGGTCATTAGAACAAACATGGCTAGTCCATGCAAGCTGCTTCATGTGTGAAGAACTTATGGGAGACCCAGGGAAAAAAAATCAATCAGAATATCAACAGTTGCATCACAAAAAGGCAAATATGAGTTTGAACAAGAGTTTGTATAATAATTTTCTCTTGGATAATAATAAACTTGTTAACTGACGTGTTTCTAAAGTATTTTGGGTCCTTGGAAGAGAGGGCCAGAATCATGAACATATTATGTTTAAAATTCTAAAGGAATGTATAATAATTTTTTCAGAGCCATGGAAGAGAATGTGAGTGTGGCAGGAGAAATCTTCAAGTCATTTTGTGCCCTGTGCAAGTCTGCCAGAGACATTAACCTATCACCAACCATAGAAACAAACCAATTATCAATTAGAGTCAAATGAGAAGACACTGAGTTTTAGATTTTGTGCACTGGCTGACTATGAAGATGATCACCTCTGAGGTGGCCATACAGAGGACTAGGGGAAGAAAGCAGCCTCAGGCTACTTTTCATTAGAGATGTGGATCTGCTTACTTGGCTTAAAAAATATGAAAATGAATCAGTTGTTTGCTGGTTGAACTGCAAATATTAATCTGATCAATTTTGGGCATCAAGGTCTAAAACATGGATGTCATGCAGCGCTAGTTCTTAAAATAAAAACAAAAGAAATAAATTGAAGTTTATTTTTGATAGGGAGCCTTAGTGCAATAAGACACGTTTCCTGGCCTGCCGCTATATTCTGGCTTCACAGGGCTCATTACAGACCTTAGCAGAATCTACTAACTCCTTCTCCTAGGTATTACCTGCTATTCAGCTCAGAGTCTTAAGAGTTGATTTGATTATAGATATATATATACACACCCAGAGGCTTTAGTGCTAGGACCATTTTGAAGTATTTCTTCTAATATCTGCATTTCCAAAAAGGAATCCCAGTGACTCCTGGACTAACTCAAAGTGATGCCCTGCTAATGGCGGTATTTAAGGCTGTGGACTGGTCCAGTGGAAAAGGCTCCCCTAGAATTATACCAGAACAGACCCCTAGACAACTTCCTGCTTCACCCATGTGCCTAGCATATAGAAGCATTCAATAAATGTTTCTTGAACTTAGCAGCCAAAACCACACACTAAAGAGAACTTTTACACATGCTTAGCATGGGAGGGCTGACTGAGTATGTGGCATTTTATCAGCCAAACTCAGCACTTTGGAAGGAGTCATGCCTCTGAATCACCCAGAATTTGAATTAGAGAAAGAGCGCATTCCTTTGATGTTTAGACAACACTGTACATGGCTTATATTCACTGATGAAAACACAGTAGTCTAGAAACAGCTTTACTGTGCATGTATACACTGTCTGGCTGGTTTTCCTTGTCTTCATAAATATTAAATGTGACTAATTAAAATTATTGAAGTTCTGGTGTAGGTATGCAGAGAGGTTTGGGTAGTGTCAAATTCTGCCTCTGTGGTTTCTTAGCCAAATGACCTTGGGCTTATCTTTGTGACTCAGTTTCTCATTTAAAATTATGAATCTATTAATACAACTTTCAAAAGACTATTGCAGGACCCAAGAATGAATACACTTAGGGTCCTTTTGTAAATTTGTTGAGTACCACATAAATGTAAAATATTAATATATGCAAGGGAAATATTCTAATTTCCTGTAGAAAGTTCTGCAAAAATGGGTTAAAAGAGGTGACTGCTGCAGTAATTTTGAATTTTGAATTTAGATATGTCCTGGGGATCTTCTTTGTACCGTGTAGCCTCTGGCTTAGGCTGTTTGATTGTTTTTCTTTCGTTTTTCACAGAGTTCTTGGCCCATCCCACCAATCTAGCACATGAGCTTAATTCGGTTTTGCTCCATGCATCAGAGAGTTTTAAGACAGCTATTAAAACACCACATGGAAAAGCTTTGCAGGGAATTCTACTCCACAGAGAAACCACAGAGCCACTACACACCTTAACTATCTCCCCACCCCCAACAGTGGGCTGAAATTACGGCTCCATTATGTTAGTACAATCCAACCAGTTTTATGGCTTGGAGCAAAATCTGAGGTTCAAAATGAACTTCAGAACATAAAAAGTAAGGCAAACCTCAAAAGGAAACGAGCTTCTTTGGGTTTTGAAACAAATATTACATATCAGAGACATTCTTCTAACAGAGGAGACCAAGAAAAGCCAAGAGGAGTCCTGCTAATTGCTCCAGAAATGTAAAACTGGAATCAGAGACTCACCCGCCCTAAAAGGAGATCTCTTTTCATCATCATATATTAAAAGCTACAACCTTTCATCAACTCCTTCCTCAAGCACGAGACCTTCTTTGACCTTGATTGAGTTCCTTCAATGTTGCATCACTATCTTCCACATTAAAAAATAAGATATATTTTTAAGACTTAATGTTAGCTCATTACTTACTCTACTGCAGCCCTTTTGCTTTGTTTTTCTATCTTCCTTCCTGTATTGTAAATGTCATTTATACATTAAGCTTTGTGTATGTTTCATGGATTTGTTGTGCCTTGGCACTAGGGCTACCCAGAAGAAACAAAATAACCGACCAATACTCATTCTCATGAGCCATCCATGCTGTTGCTTGGTTAATTCAATCTCATGGACAACTTATTTTCTTACAGTGAATACAAGCGTCTTCATTTATCCCTTGTTTACTACAAAGCCATGGATATAATTTAATTTCTACATCCATCTTGAGTGGGGCATATCCAGGGCTACTTCTACAAACACAAGATTGCCCTGATTACACTAACTCTATCTTATTCTTCCCCAAATTCAATAAAATGTCCAAGCAATGGGAATATTTTGGCAGCCCAATTACATATCTCATAATATCCCTAATATCTGAAAGCAGGATGTGTCTGACCATGTGTTCTGATTTTTAGGTCTACAAATATGGTCTTCAAATGATAGGGTGAGAAAGAAGAGTTAAAGAAAGAGGATCCAGGGAGCAGTGCCAGATCTTCTAGGGAGCTGAGTTTGTATTATGCTAGCAGGGAATGATGGGAATTTCTCCAATAACTCCCTAGGGGTGTGTCAGAAAAACTATGAGACTGTAACTTGAGCAAGAATAGTGTCAGGGAATCTGTGCCCTACCTCAATTCAACAAAAATGAGTAGTCGTGCAGCTCAACAAGCATTTATTACATTAGTATGACTAAATGTATATGATGTAACAAACTAAGGGATACACAAAATGACTAAGATGGGAGTGTGAAAATGAGCAAACAATGCTTGTATCATGAAATAAATTTCTAGAGACTATTTCTTGTAAAGGCTATTTAACATCAGTGGCCCTGACTGGGTTTTACTGAGGGAATTAGTGTCCAGAGCTGGAGCTGTGCAGTAATCCTGACTTCTCCAGCTGCTCAGGACATAGCAATTGTGCTAGGAAAGTAAAAGGCAGTGGAGACCTGTCATAGGGTAAGGAAAATGAGGTCAGACCTTAAACAGACAAGTGGAGGGTAAAAGTATTAATCAAGATCAATCAATCCTAGTGGGAGGGAAGATAAAATTGTGGAGGGTGGAGGTGTCTGAAGTAGTTCCTGAGATCTTTCTTCTGAGAATGCTTGTAACTTTCTTTAGAGTTTCATGCAATTATCATTTTTTTTAATAGGGAAGGTTTTTTTTCTTCTTTTTTTTAGACGTAGTCTCGCTCTGTCGCCCAGGCTGGAGTGCTGTGGCAGGATCTCGGCACACTGCAAGCTCCGCCTCCCGGGTTTACGCCATTCTCCTGCCTCAGCCTCCTGAGTAGCTGGGACTACAGGCGCCCGCCCCCACCTGGCTAATTTTTTGTATTTTTAGTAGAGACAGGGTTTCACCGTGTTAGCCAGGATGGTCTCGATCTCCTGACCTCATGATCTGCCTGCCTCGGCCTCCCAAAGTGCTGGGATTACAGGCGTGAGCCACGGCGTCCGGCCAGGGAAGGGTTTCTTAGGAGGCAAACAAGAAGGACAGGTGAAAGAGAACTGGGGGGAAGGTGTCACTAAAGCCAGGGGAGGAATGGTGTATGTAGTCAAAGGCAATTAGAAGGTCACTGCTGACCTTAGCAAGAGCAGTTCTACTTGAGTGAAACTGCTTCCCACTCATTCCCTCACTTGTGTAATCCTACACACCCTCATAATTCACATATCTCCTTCATAATATAAAACCCCTTTAAGGACCACGTGACAAAGTATCCCCAGTCAATGATTAGAATAAATTTCAAGCCCTAGATCTGGTTATGGTTCTTAATTTTCTCCAATTACACAGGTACATGGAATCTATTTATTGGATACGTTAGGGCAGTAATTCATTATAATTATTCCTCTCATATTGATTCCCTAATAGAGTCCTTACAATAGCTCTTTCAATGGTGTAATAAAAAGAGCACTGGATTTAGTATCAGAAAACCTGATTGTTAGTCCTGATTCCAACCACATGGCCTTGGAAAAACATTTAAGTACTCACAACCTGGACCTTAGCAAAATAATAATAATACTTAGAGCAGAAAGTCCTTCATTCATTCAGCTAATATTTACTGAGGGGTTACAAAAATTGAAATGGGCATGGCATTGGGAATAGGCATAAGGCATAATCACTTCCCTTAAACAGCATCAGCCTGGGAAGAGAAATACACAAAAAAGGTGAAAAGAGATTACATGTAAACGTATTTCGCAGCTATGAAGCACTGTACAAATTGTTCATTTCTATTATCATATTGTTCATCCAAATGTATTTACTAATAATTAATATTTACTACGTGGGTACCTACGTTGCATGTGCTGCCCTAGAAATGAAGGATGCAAAATTGAATAACATGGAGCCCAAATTGTTTCATATTGTATTAACTAATTCTGCAATTTGTTTTTTTTCCTTCAACATTATGTTTTGATGTCTATCCATGTTGAGATATACAGATTTAGTTCATTTATTTTAATTGCTCTTGTCTTATTTATGTTTACATCCTTTATTTCTAGGGCAGCACATGCAACATAAGTACTCACACAGTAAATATTAACTATTAGTGAAATCATACAATAAACAATACTATATGTTATTCATGAATATAGATAAATAGATACATAGGCTAAGAGGATATGTATTCCATCCATATTAGTGTTTGCTTCTGAGAAGAAAGAGAAAGAAATGGAACATAGAATGGGGGTGAGGACAAGAGTTCTTCAGCTTTAATTTTACAGGTTTATTTCAAAAAAGAAAATAATTTTTTGTGAGGGTACAAATGTGCTTGCCACATTATCTTTTCGTGCTTTTCTGCATTTAAAAAAGTACTGAAAAAAAGTGTCTGCTCTCAAAAGACCAACAGTTTAGTAGAGGAAACAGATATAGAAACACTTATAATACAAGGTGATACGCATTGACCTAGAACCCATCTCTCCCTGTGTCTTAGGAAAAGCCTCACGAGCAGAGGTCACTTGAAGAATTAGTGGAAGGAATTCTTTGTCCATGTCCTGCTTGTCCACTGTCTGTCTATGTGGTGACCTCATTCCCACTGCCTGAGAAGCACAAGGTTTTCCTGCCGCGGTTTCCTCTCCTTTTTACATTTTCCATCTGAAAACATCCTTCACTGGCCCCAAGAACTTACTCCTTTTTGTTGGGCTGAAGAAGACATTCTGATTCCTTCTTCCTTTTTTTTTTTTTTTACTAGAGCAAATGACCTCTTCTCTAACTGTGTTCCTTCAATTTTCCCATCTCTCCCTCGCCTCGCCTTGTTTTCAATCCACTCCTCTTTCCTCTCTATCCCTACTTCACACATACATGGCCATCTTCACCTAAGCCCAGACTCCCCACTAACCATTTTCCCTTATGACCTTTTTACTTCATAGTCAAACTCCCCCAAACATGTGACCTACACCAAAAGCTCCCACATCCTGAAAGGCCATAATGTCCTTAATCCCCACACTCCCACTACACTTCTTCCCTCACCACCAGCACCACCACCATACACCCTATTGAAATTGCATTCTGGAAGATCACTGATTATGTCCTCATTACCAGATATGGTTGCCTTGCCTATTCTCCCAAGGTGTTTGTATGTTGGGGACTTGAATTGCCATTTTGTGACCTTCTCTCTAACTTGACTCTTATGACACCACCCCGTTCTCATTCTGTCTTTATTCCTTTGGCTGTTCCTTCTCTGACCATCAGGCTCTTTCTCTTCTTCTGTCCCATAAACAAGGACCTTTTAGGTATCCCACAGAATTCTGTTCTCTTGGCACATATTAGCTATGGATATTATAACTACTCCCATGCTATTGCCTCTGCTCTGACAATTCCCTAGTCTACATCTCCAACTTTGCAGTCTGAGCTATATAGTCCGTATTTTTGACTTCTTGATGAACATTTCTACTTTAATGTTCTGCCATAATCTCACAGTCAGCATGTCTAAAAACTGAGCTCTTCATATCTCTCCAAACCCTAACATAACAAAACAATCAAACAAAAAAACCTCCCTATCACAAACAATAAAAACTAAGTTCATTCTACTAAATTTGTCAGTCAGTCTGAAGTTGGCCATTTCTCCCAGTCATCATAACTTAAAATCCTCCCCCATTATTCTCTCAGATATGCAATCACAGTTGCCCTCTTCCAAGAGCTTTTTGAATCTGTCTCTTCCTTTTTATTCTCATCACTATTCTCCTAGTTCTACCTATAACCACTTTGAATCTGAACTATTGAAAACACCATCTATAGGGTCTGTTTAAGCTTCCAGCTACTCTCATCTCCAATCTATTAGTTTTTCTGAGACATAAACTTTATCATTCTGTGTCTTCCTTCATGTAGAGCCCAAACTCTGAAGTGTGGAATTCAAAGCCCTTTACATTCTCTTCCTAACATATTTCTAACACCATATCTTCATTACTTTTCTAAACTCTTACTGCTCTCAGGCAAATTGCTCTGTGTAAATTCTTGAGTCTGAATTTCTTCACATAAATGGGAATACTACTTTTTTGGTTGTTTTGAGGAATAACCATTGTGTAAAGCACACACTTTATTGTTAGTGGTTACCTGTGGTATTTCAAACACGTCCTGTGTTTTCCCAGCTCTCTGCCTTGCTCAGCCTGGTCCTTTTATTCAGAATGCCCTCCTTCCAGGTCAAAGTCCTGCCTCACCTGTGACTATTTCCCTAAGTGTCTCAGCCCAACAGTGTCCTCTGCCTGCCTATGAAAACTTAGTGTCTGTATTACACAAGTAATGCAATACTTGCACTGTGATCACGGCCTTAGAGCATGTCTTGAGTGCTAGTGTGGATCAGTTTCACACTTGTTAAAGCACAAATCATCACGGTCGTCCTGGGGTTTCTGATTCAGTAAATCTAGGTTGGGGCCTAAGGATTTTCATCTCTTACAAGTTCCCAAGTGATGCCGAAACTTCTGGTGCAAGGGCGCCAGAAGTCCCACTTGGGCGCCCCTCTCTCTTGCAGGAGAGAGCTGTTCTCCTTTCTGTTTCTTTTACCAGTTAAACCTCCACTCTTAACCTCACTCCATGTGTGTCTGTGTCCTTGATTTCCTTGGCATGAGGCAAAGAACCTCGGGTATTTACCCCAGACAACGACGCTACTTCATCAAGAGTTGAAATATGACTGTAATAAACCATTTTTCACATATTTTCTTAGGTTGGTGCCAAATTCATAAGATATGCATGGCAAGTTAAACAATAGGCTTTTTAGAGGGTGCTTTGACTTGACAGTTACAGTAACAACAAGTGTAAATTAAAAAAAAAAAAACTTTCTTTTTTTTTTTTTTTTTTGAGACGGAGTCTCGCTCTGTCACCCAGGTTGGACTGCAGTGGCGCGATCTCGGCTCACTGCAAGCTCCGCCTCCCGGGTTCACGCCATTCTCCTGCTTCAGCCTCCCAAGTAGCTGGAACTACAGGCTCCCGCCACCATGCCCAGCTAATTTTGTATTTTTTGTAGAGACGGGGTTTCACTGTGTTAGCCAGGATGGTCTCAATCTCCTGACCTCCTGATCCACCCGCCTCGGCCTCCCAAAGTGCTGGGATTACGGGCGTGAGCCACCGCACCCGGCCGAAATCTTTCTTTTTACCTAGCATCCTAAATATTTGATGTGAAGACAGAGGTGGTTGAACTTAATATTACTAACCTTAAACTAGTTTAACAAAAACCCAAATATTATATACATACATGAAGTCATATACATTTTTAGGATCACATGCTTTTTCATTGGTGTTTGTATAATTGTGGAGGTTTTCTTTCTATTTCTACTCAATATATGCTGCTGGAGAAAGTGTTACAGTGTCTATGCCACCCAAACCGGCACATTACAATCATATTTAACAGAAAACACACTAAGAACAACACAAAGAATAATGATGGTGAAGGGTGAGGACAAGGGAAAGCCAGGAAACAGAATTCACTCAAACATTTTGAAAGCATTTTACAAGTTTCTGTATGAAAAATATTGAGTTACCATGGAAGTATAGGAAATGTTTTGTCATGGCTAGAAAACTGGCTTAAAGACAAAGGTAAGGTTAATTGGGCACTTCTCTGGACAGAGAAATGTTAACAGTGGGGATCCCTGGAAATCATCCATAGATGGATCTTATTTAACTATTTGTATACAAGACATGAAATAAATTATACAGTAAAACTTAAAAGCACAGGGTTCAGTGCTGGAAGATTTATTTCCTTGTCATTTTGTCTAATTTTTTTTTCTAAAATTGCAGGCTAAAACTCCAGACCTTCTGCATGTCACCACCTTGGCACAATTTTTGTGTAAATACTTATCATTGAAACCATTTTTCTTGGTAATCAATGATATTGTTTGAGCTATTGCAGGTGCTATTTTGTCTAGCCCCACCAGATCAACAAAAAACTTTTACCATCTTCAGCATCTTAAAATTTTGCATGTTAAATATTATTAAAATACTTTTACATAAAATATTTAAAGCTTTATTAATAGTGATTAAAATTTCACTGTACTATACGTTTTCCAAAAAGTTTGCTTTCTTATTTCAGTAGACAAATGCTTTGACAAAGTCAGGACCATAAATCTACATTGCAATGGTACATCTGTGTAGATATTACTTTTTGAGGCTCAACTAAATATTTCATGTCTGACAATGCTCACTTATGTTTAACTACATAACACATTATGTTAAAAGTTCTGATGATATGTTCAAAAATGTCTTTTAATTACTTTATTGATACACTTTGATAAAATTTTTATTTCAAAAACTTTAATGCATAAAGCTGATACATGATGTTCTTTAAGTTTTCTTTCATTAATGATTGCAAAATTTCTTTACTAGAAACATGAGCTTTAACAAATTCTCTGATTTTTTTAAAAGTGTTTTGCCGTTCAGCTCCTAACAACATAGAATTTGAACTTAATTTCCATCCAACATTTATATCATTAGCAATAATAAATTAATCAATTTTTAAGTAGACTCAGGTTGTTTTTCATTTTAGAAATACAAATTGTTTACTTATGTTATAATGATTTTTGTACAATATCAGAACATGCCTCCAGTTGTGACTGATTTTTTCTTTTAATCTCCTGAAATTTAGAATATTTACCTATTTATGATACTTAAAGAAACATTAAGAAAAATAACCAAATTTTGAAGTCTCTTTACTGTGGGTTTTCATTCTAAATATTTAATCTTACATTTATATACTATGTGTATTAAAAACTATTCACACAAAAAATTGAATTGCATTATAATTAAAATAAAAGTAAAACTAAACATCAGAAGTAATAATTTGAGGATGATAATTAACTTGAATAGATTTTAGATACAGGAGTAGAGATTTTAGGTACATTTCAAAGGCAGAGTCAACAGGATTTACTGATTAATATGGCTTGGTTCTATGTCCCCACCCAAATCTCATGCTCAGTTGTAATCTCCGGTGTTGGAGGTGGGGCCTGGTGGGAGGTGACTGGGTCATGGGGGTGGATTTTTCATGAATGGTTTAGAACCATCCTCTGGGTACTATTCTCACAATAGTGAGTGGGTTCTCGTGACATGTGGTCATTTAAAAGTGTGTGGCATGGCATCTCTCCGCTCACTCTCTTGTCCCTGCTCCTGCCATGTAAGACACTTCCTCCTCCTTTGCCTTCTCTGTTATGACTGGAAGCTTCCTGAGGCCTCCCCAGAAGCAGAAGCTGCTGTGCTACCTTTAAGCCTGCAGAACTGTGAGCCAATTAAGCTTATTTTCTTTATAAGTTATCCAGTCCCTGGTATTTCTTTATAGCAATACAAGAATGGGCTTATATTGATGAATTGAGGAATTGATTATGGGTACAGAAAAAGAGAAAAAATAATGAATGGAAGGCTTGGGCCCTAGTGTCTGTCTGGGTGAGTGGTGACATCATTCAATGAGAAGGTGACTACTCTGCAAAGAATAGGTTTTAAGGGAAAAGTTGGAGTTTGGGTCTTTGATACTATGATCTAGATGCCTTTAATTCTTTTCAGCAACGTTTTCAATATCTGTAAGAGAGGTATGACTAACACTCCTGATTTATAGATGCAGTAACTAAGATTTGGAGATATTGAATTTAAGTTACTGTGACCAATGAGTTGGCTGATTCTGGAGCTCAAAAAAGAAAACAGGCCATGAGGCTACGGTAGTAACAAATAATCAGTGAATTTAATCCAGTAGATATTTTTCAAAGACCACTATGTGCTTATCACTATCAGGTGCTATAGCCAGCAAGGAGAGAATTCAAAATTCTAAACTTTTGCTAGGTCCCAGGCATTAGCAGTGCTGGAACATATATTCTGTAAGAGAATATAGACACAGTAGATGACACTTAAATTCTTGGGCAACAACTAAAGGAGATAACAAAGGTAACAATCATTGAAGTAGTTTAGTGAAAGCAGGGATGTCAGTGAGGGCCCTAATGGTGTGAACTGAATTTCTTTCTCAAAGATACAGGAGAGGATTTTAATGAGAAAGAGTGAGATGGAGGCAGGGAAATCTTCAGGCCAGGAAACTGCATGGGTATAGTCAGCATGTACCTGGGGACCATTTGACTGGAGTAGAGGAAGATAAAGATAGATAGGCAGAGAAAGGCCACATTAGGCAGAGCTGTGAAAGCTGGGCAGAACACCTTGGATTTTATCCTGTGGGAACTGGGAGCTACTGATGGTTTCTATGGCTAGAGCTGAAACATGGTCAATAGTCACCATTTCTTAACTAACATTTTCCTAGGATGTTGCCAAACTCATACTGGCAACACTTATATTTTACTTATATTTAATATTTTTCACTTGCAATACAAATGATCACATATAACATCTAGGTGGATATTTTGACATACTAATTCCCTTCAGTTCCAAACTCATTCAAATAATACAGTTTTGTCCAAAAAGTGGAATTATAATGTGAGGTTATGAAAAGTCCATTTCCCTCTTAACATTCTTCCTAGCAACTCAGTTGTTTTCATTGGCTTTCATTAAAACAACCTTTGTGTGAACTGGCAATTTGTTTTGTAAATATCGATGAAAGCATATTTCAGAAAATATAGTAATAAAAGCCAACTCAATTCCAGAAATCTGCTTGCTGCCAGACATCAGTCTTCAGCTCATATTATGAGTATTTCCAGTAAGTCTTAAATACACATTAACATAAGAAATAGCTTGCTGTTTAAGATCAAAAAGTTGAAAAACTCTTTGCTGCCTCTCAAAAATTGCTCAAGGGTTATGTCCAATAAAATGCATTTTCCTTTTTGATAAACTACATTTATAAGGGTTTCATGCACTTCAATTCAACTGAACTCTTCCTTCCCAAATCCTACTTAGACCCAGTTTATCATCTATATATAACTTTCCTTATTTAAGAGGACTGTGATATTAACATTTCAACAATACCTATCTTGAACTCATATCCACTTTCCAGCCCTTTATAAGAATTAGAAGCTTTGTTCAAAACTCTAGGAACTTCCATTACTATTTTCTAAGTTAAGCACAACTCAGCTATTGTCACTAAGCTATGTTTAATAATAGAAAAAAATTAAAAATTAAAATGTGATTCCTCAACTAGAAGTATAATAAGAAAAGGCTGTAAACTAAATGTTCTAAAGAACTTTAACTTAAATGCCTTCTGGTTGGCAGATGAAATATCTCTGAAAAGTGAAATGGGTCATTGCATAGTTCTTCTCAGGACACAATCATAATCATCCTATGTATCTGCTGTGATGCCTTTAATACAAATGTTTTCTGTAAAACATCTAATTCAACTAGCTCTCCTGGTTCCCAAAACATACATTTCTTCATATTTCAAAGTAAATCAGTGAATTAATTCAGTATAGAGTTTGGGTGTATACTACATGCCTAAAACCATGCTAATTATTTTGGGGGACATATAAGAAGAGTAAGATGTGATTTTAAGCAGCTCATGTTCTATTAATACTTGTGTTCTAAAAAACATGAAATACATAGCAACTACTTCAAGACATTCTGTAACTAAGTATTAAGTTATAAGAGAGATCCTAGAACCAAGGTGAAGGAAGAGAAACAGTGGGTTAGGGTTGCTAGGAAAGCTTGCTGCAAGACATGCTTTAAGAGAGCCTCAAAGATTGGATGGATGAGCAAGGAGTGGAAAGGTAGAAGTTCATGTCAAGCAAGGAGACTGGGTGAGAGAGCAGAAAAGAGAGAGATAAGTCATCTATTGAAGGTGTATTAGATGCCATGTTTTATGGAAATATTTATGAAATGAAATAAACATCATTTAATATTCACAGCAAGCTTTTGACGTGGATATTATTGTCTCTATCTGACAAAAGGAGAATAAATCTCAGAGCGGGTAAGAAAGATGCTCGAGGTTACCCTGTTACATGGCTGACAATCAGGATTCAATATCAATATCTGTCTTACCCAAAGTGGAACTTTCTCCAGGAGCTCATTGCCTCCTTTATGTGCCTATACAGCAGTGAGGGAACTATCTTGCCTGTAACAACTCAATTTGGTTATCTTGTGGGATATCCTGTGGCTTTAGTCTGGAGCCAGACTAGAAAGAGCAGAAGCAGGCAGGCTAATTAGACTTTGCTCAAAGGGATTACAGATGGTCACTTTCAATTTTTAAACTGGGAATTAACATGGTGTGTGCAGCGTTTAGGAAAGATAAATGGTTTGAGAAATAGGTAATTCCAAGATGAGTAGAAGTAAAGGGCTCTTTTAAAAACCTAGGGATCAAATGATGTGAGTCTAGGCTATAATGAAGGCATGAGAATGACAAGGAGGAGGTAGAAGTGAGATGTTATAGAAAAAATCAAGAGGACTTAGAGGCAGACTGAATATGGGGAAAGATCATGGTCAATGAGTTGTATAATAAGTTGAATTGCAAGGTCCATGTAAAATGTTATGATTGTCACAACTTACTGTTAAGGAGGAAGAATGGAATAGTGAGAAAATATAAGATTTGGTTCCTGATGTGAGACAAGTTTTGGCTGGCACAACCAGGGAATATGGCATGCTTTCAAGTATCAGAAGGGCCATTTTCTGTACTTTTTTGGAGCTAGAAAAATAACTTTTTCCTAACCAGAATTTATGTGTCTCACAATAGAGTATGGAGTTATAAACTCAAATATCTCTATCTGTTCTATTTAGATGCTCTCAGTAAGAAGCCTACAAGTTGAGTATAAACAAGAAAATGCTATGGTCTTTCTGTCCTCTAAATGTGAAAGTCAGAGGATAAAAGATTTACTAAGGATGAAGTCCGATGTTGCAGGTAAAATAAGTGCTCTTTTCATACTTATTTATTGGTTTTAAGCGACACTTTAATATCAAGTTTAAGTATTAATAGAAAAATTTTCAATAGACATTTATTAAATAACTTCCTTTACTCTAATAATATCTACCTCATAGCACTGCTGTAGAGAGTGACGTAAGAGACCAAATATTTAACATTTTGTGTTGAATTGCAAGGTCCACGTAAAATGTTATGATCGTCACAACTTACTGTTAAGGAGGAAGAATGGAATAGTGAGAAAATATAAGATTTGGTTCCTGATGTGACAAATCACTACATGTCTTTGGACCCGATCTTGAAACTCCTAAATTGTCAGTTTTGTAAAAGGATCAAATTAGCCTAGATACCCTGGGAGTCTCCATCTCTGAATGAGTATTGTAAAGGACAGCACTATAATGTGTAGAATCACTTTGTGTTTTTCAGCCTGTAAAAGTAATAATTATGCAAATATTATCTCTTATTTGAAAAAAGGGCAACCCTACACTGAGAATGAAAATACAGAAATTGGAAGCAAGACCTAGCAGTCTCAGTTAGGACCTCAATATATTATAGTAGATGTTTCCAAATATTTTAAAATATGTAGATATTTATACTACAGAAGAATTAAAAGCTTTATCATAAAGTAAATTCTTGATAAAAATTAGGCAAATACTAATAGGAGTTTTCAATCCCTTGAGTATTAGGAAACTGAAATCATCATTGCAGAATGAAATTAATGAATACTGGAGTAGTGGGTCGGGCTGGGTTAAGAGGTGCATGGGTTGCCATAAACTTTTTTCTGTGCATTTAATGTTTCCTGTAGTGTCACAGCAAAGGAATGGAATAACTGTCATGCCAATAGTTGGTCTCACAAGTATAGATGCCCTTTTGCTACATGTAAAAATGTGACTTCAAATGTTAGGAAGAAAAAAAATACCAGCTTCAGATAATCTGCAAATATAAAAGTATTTAATGATTAAAATTGACAAAACTCCAATCTAAACTCTACCTATAAGATGTCTAAAGAACCTAAACAAGCTTCCAGGCAATCCTGGTATTCTGAAGAACACATATGGGAACAAAAGGCCCATATTTTAATGAAAAAAATTTACGTCTGGTCTATGGATATTCTCTTTACTGGTACCATGCTTCACTTAACATTAATAATTGTGTGATTTTTTTTTCTTGTGTTGGCACAGAAATTCTGACCATAACACAGAGTTCTAACTGAAATATATAGCTTTGCCATCTCTGAACATTTGCATTATTCAGAGATAGGCTTTGTGTGCAATCCATAAGCTTCTAGAGGGAATGGCTATACTATTTAAACAAGTCTGGAAATTTTTTATAAATTGTCATGAACAAAGCTTTTACTCATCTCTCTCTTCCCAGCTTCACCTCCCATATGATAGGCTTGGAAAAAATGAAAAAGAAAATCAGAATTTATTAAAAAAAAATCTTAGATCAGAGTGACATCAGCAAGATGGCAGGCTAGAAAGCTCCAGTCCCTCTTTGCCCACCATTAAAAAAAAAAACCGTAGAGACTAACGTAGCAGTATAGGAGTTATGAAATCAGTTGAAGATCTAACAAATGAATGACCAATCAAGAAAATTCAACACGTAATACAGTAGAAAATTTTGTGGCACTTTTACTCTCCCTTGCTTCATGTCCTCCCTGAGGTGGTGTGGTGGTATCATGGATGGGAGAAAGCAGCCCAATTCCTGATTCCCATCTGTGAGCCAGAGGAGTAGAGTATATCTTATTTGCAATGTTCTAAGCTTTCAGTGGGCAGCCCAAGGGACTGTTTTATGTCTGATCTGACTCAGAGCTCAGACAGGGAACAGCAGGACAGCTCGAAACTCAGGCTGGCAGAAGCTGTGGTCAGTGGCATGCTTTTCGGTACATGAAAGCTTCAGGGCAATGGCACACTCATGGATGCCTGAGGAAAGAGATTATGGGCAGAGGAATACAACGACACATCTAAGGCCCTGAGAGGAAACTGTTGTGAGACACTAGGAAATTAAGACATATTTAAAAGCAGTCATATATGGGAGAACTTTGTTTTTATTAAAATAAACCCCATTTCTACAAAGCAATACAAAAATTAGCTGGGTGTGGTGGCATATACCTGTGGTCCCAGCTACTTGAGGCTGACTTGGGAAGATTGCTTGAGCCTGGGAGGTCAAGGCTGCAGTGAGCCAACACTGTGCAATTGCACTGCAGCCTGGGTGACAGAGCGAGACCCTGTCTAAAAAAAAAAAAAAAAAAAGTACACACACAGAGCCAGGAAGAATGCATGCATGCCCAGAAAAGACCTGGGAAGATTTTAAGCCTTTATCCTGGGCTGTTGCTAAGGCTCAGGACATAACCCACTAATTAGTGAAAAATCTTTATACCAATCTTCAAAACCTGGAAGTGGCTATTTTTTCAAATGCCCAATTTTCAATGAGGCATACAGATAAATTGGAACACATGGCCCCATTGAAATCAACAAAATAAATCTTCAGAAACTGTCCTTGAAGAAATACACACATTGGATTTACAAGACAAAATTAAAAAAAGAAAACTGTTTTAGATATGTTCAAACACCTAAAGGAGAATGCAATTAAAGAATTAAAGGAATCCAGAAACTGACATATGAATAAAATGAGAATATCAACAAAAAGAAATTATTAAAAGGGACCAAACAGAAATTCATGAGCTGAAAAATACAATAACTAAACTGGAAATTTCACTAGAGGGATTCAGCAGAAGACTTGATGAGACAGAGGAAATAATCAGTGAACTCGAAGACAGACCATTTGAAATTATAGAGTCTGATAAGCAAAAAGAAAAAAGTATGAAGAAAAGTATATAGAGCAAAAGAGACTTAAGGGATACCACCAGGCAGACCAGTAGATGCATATGGAAATCCCAGAAAGATAAGAGAGAGTGAAAGAGGTAGAGAGATTACTTTTATTGGTAATGGTTAAAAGCATCTCTAATTTGAGGAATGACATGCATATAAAAATCCAAGAAGCTCAACAAACTCCAAGTATGATAAACCCAAAGAGACACATAATCAAATTATCAAAAGCTAAAGACAGACAGAATTTTGAAGGCAGCAAGGGAAAAGTGACCCTTTATGTATAAGGGATTATCTATAAGATTATCAGCAAATTTTTCAGGAGAAACCCTGCAGGCCAGAAGGCACTGGGATGATATATTTAAAGTGCTGAAAGAAAAAGACTGTCAACTAAGGATCCTACATTCAGCATAACTGTGCTTCAAAAATGAAGAAGAAATGAAGACAGTCCCAGGTAGTCAAGCCTCTGCTACCTTAAGCCACTCTAAATAATGATATCTAAAACTTCATATAGCCACTTGGCAGCAGATATGTGAATAGATTGGAAGGTCTGGGTGGAAGGGGACTCTTATTTATTTATTTATTTATTTATTTTGAGATGGAGCCTCACTCTGTTGCCCAGGCTGGAGTGCAGTGGCGCAATCTTGGCTCACTGCAACCTCCACCTCCCAGATTCAAGCAATTCTCCTGCCTCAGCATCCCAAATAGCTGGGACTACAGGCACGCACCACCACACCCAGTTAATTTTGTATTTTTAGTAGAAACGGGGTTTCACCATGTTGCCCAGACTGGTCTTGAACCCCTGACCTCAGGTGATCCACCCACTTCAGCCTCCCAAAGTGCTGGGATCACAGGCGTGAGCCACTGCGCCCAGCTGGAAATGAAGACATTCCCAGAAAACCAAAAGCTGAGGGAGTTCATTGCATTAGGCAACACAAATAAGACTACCCCAAGGCATAGAATAATCAAACTCTCAAAGGTCAAGGACAAGGAGATGATCCTAAAAGCAGCAAGAAAAAAAAGAAGCAAATAACATATAAGAGTTCTAATTCATCTGGTAACAAACTTCTCAATGGGAACTATATAGGCCAGGAGGGATTCGGGTGACATTTTCAAAGTACAAAAAAAAAAAAAAAAAACTGCCATCAAAGTATATTTTATCCAGCAAAGCTACACTTCAAATACAAAGGAGAAATAAAGTCTTTCCCCAATAAACAAAAGCTAAGAGAATGCACCATCACCAGACCCATCTTAAAAGAAAAGCTAAAGGGAGTTCTTTAATGTGAAAGAAAAAAAACTAATGTGTAAAAAGAAAATATTTGAAGGTATAAAACCCACTAGTAAAATTAAGTGCACAAACAAACCCAGGATACTGTAATGCTGTAATTATGGTGTGCAATCAGCTAATAATTCTAGTATGAAGCCCAAAACACAAATCTATTAAAAACAATAATAGCTATAGCAACCTGGTAAGAGATAGGCAATATTAAAAATATGCAAATTGAGACAACATAAAGTCAAAATGGGGGGTGAGTTAAAGTGTGAAGGTTTTTTAAATTGTTTGTTTCTATACTTTTCTAAGCTAAGTGATCATCTCTTTAAAATAATTTGTAAGCCTCATGGTAGCCACAAGGCAAAAACCTATAATAGATTCATAAAAATAAAAAGAAACAAATTAAAATATACTACCAGAGAAAAATCACCTAATCACAAAGGAAGACAGAAAGGAAGAGGAATTATGAAACAAGAACACAAGCAACAAATGGCAGTAGTAAGTCCTTAATAACATTGACTATAAATTGACTCAATTCTCTAATTGTAATGGCTCAATGAATAAAGAAAAAAGACCCAACTCTATGCTGCCTACAGGAAACCCACCTCACCTATAAAGACACACATAACCTGAAAGTGAAGAGGTATTTCATGCAACCTGAAACCAAAAACAGAGCACGAATAGCTATACTTATATCAGGTAAAATACATTACAAATCATGACTGCACAAAGAGACAAACAAGGTCACTAAATAATGATAAAGATGTCAATTCAACAAGAAAATATAGCCATTATAAATATGCATTCAATATCAGAGCTCCCAAGTACATAAAGCAAGCATTAATAGTTGTAAAGGGAGAGATAGATTATGATACAATGATTATAGAGGACCTATTGTCGGTAATGGACAAATAATCCAGACCAAAAAATCACCAAAAAAAGTTGGAGTTAAAATACACACTATACCAAATAGGCCTAACTGATATTTACACAACATTTCACTCAAATACTGCAGAATATACGTTCTTTTCAGCAGCACACAGAACACTTTCCAGTACAGACCAAATCTTAGGCCACAGAACAAATTTCAACAAATTAAAAAGAGTGGAAATCATATCAAGCATCTTTTCTGACCACAAAGGAATAAAACTGGAAATCAATAACAAGAGAAATCTCAAAAACTACACAAACACATGGAAATTAAACAACTTGCTTCTGAATGATAAATTGGTCAATGAAAAAATTAAGAACATTAAAAAATTTCTTGAAACAAATGAAAATGGAAAAACAACATACTGAAATCTATGGAATACAGCAAAATAAATATTAAGAGGAAAGTTTATTGGAATACACTTGTATCCATAAAGTAGAAAGACTTCAAATAAAACAACTTAATAATTATACTAGTCAATTCTCATATCACTATGAAGAAATACTCAAGACTGGGTAATTTATAAAGAAAAGAGGTTTAATGACTCACAATTCTCTATTGCTGGGGAGGCCTCAGAAAACTTACAATCATGGTGGAAGATGAAGGAGAAGCAAAGGCACATCTTACATGGCAGCAGGTGGGAAAGCATATGAGCCAGTTCAGGGGAACAGCCTTTTATAAAACCATAAGATCTTGCGAGATTCCCTCACTATCACAAGAACACCATGGGGAAAACCACCCCTATGATTCAATTATCTTCATCTGGTCTCTCTTGACACATGGGGATTATGGGGATTACAATTCAAGGTGAGATTTGGTTAGGGACTCAGATCCAAACCATATCAGTCATGCATCTCAAAGAACTAGAAAAGCAAGAACAAATCAAACCTTAAATTAGCGGAAGGAAAATAATAAAGATCAGAGAAGAAATAAATGAAAATGAAGCTAAAAAAATACAGATCAATGGAATAAAACAAGTTGGTTTTTTTGAAAAGATAAACAAATTGTCAAATCTTTAGCTAGACTAAGAAAAAAGAGAGAAGAGCCAGGTAAATAAACTTGGAAACAAAATAGGAGATATAACAACTAAGACCACAGAAATGCAAAGAATCATGAGAGACTATTATGAACAACTGAACACCAACAATTGGAAAACCTAGAAGAAATGGATAAATTCCTAACACATACAACTTACTGAGATTGAACCATGAATAAATAGATAATTTTAACAAACCAATAATGAATAATAAGATTGAAGCTGTAATAAAAAATTTCCCACCAAATAAAACCCCAGGACATGACAGCTTCATTGCTGAATTCTATTGAACATTTAAAGTAAAACTCTTACCAATTCTACTCAAATTCTTCAAAAAAATTGAGAAAAAGAGAATACTTCCAAACCTACTCTGTGATGCCAGCATTACCTTGATACCAAAACCACATAAAGAAACAACAACGTAAAAGGCTATAGGTCAGTATCACTGATAAAGTGATAAATATCATTAAAATGGCCAAAACCGCAATTACTTTTGCACCAACCTAATACTAGCAAACCAAATTCAACAACACATTAAAAAGATAATTTACCATTATCAAGTGGAATTTATGTCAGGAATGCGAGGATGGCTTAACATATGTAAATCAAGAAACATGATACATTGTATGAACAGAACCAAGAACAAAACATATATGATCATTTCAATAGATGATGAAAAAGCATTTGACAAAATTTAACATCCCTTTAGGATGAAAACCATAAAAAACTGGGTGTAGAAGAAACATACCTCAAATGATAAAGGCCAAACCCTCAGCTAAAATCATACTGACCAGGAAGAAATGGAAAGCCTTTCCTCTAAGATCTGGAATAGGATGAAAAGGATGCTGAATTTTACCACTTTTATTCAATATAATGCTGGAAATCTTGGCCAGAACAATTAGGCAAGAGATAGAGATGAAGGACATCCAAATTGAAAAGAAATATGTCAAATTAGCATTGTTCACAGACATGATTTCATACTTAGAAAAATCTAATGACTTCACCAAAGAGACTGTTAGAACTGATATATTCAGTAAAGTTGCAGGATACAAAATCAACATTCAGTAAAGTTGCAGGATACAAAATCAACATACAGCAATCAGTAGCACTTATATTCACCAGCAGCATACAATCTGAAAAAAAATCAATAAAGTAAGCCCATTTGCAGTAGTGATAAAATGCCTAGGAATCAATTTTATCAAAGAAATGAAAGATCTATACAAGTAAAACTAGAAAACACTGATGTAAGAGATTGAAGAGGATATACACCAAAAAGAAAAGATATCCCATGCTCATGGATTGGAAGAATTAATACTGTGAAAATATCCATACTATCCAAAATAATTTACAGTTATGCAATCCCTATTAAAATACTAATGACGGTCTTCACAGAAATAGAAAAAAAATCCTAAAATTTACATGGAACCACACAAAACCCAGGAGAACCAAAGGATTCTTAAGCAAAAAGAGCAAAGCTAGAGGCATCAAACTGATTTCAAAATATAGTAAACAAATCTGCATGGGACTCACATAAAAATGGACACATAGACCAATGGAACAGAATAGAGCACTCAGATATAAATACACGAATTTGTAGTAAACTCATTTTCAACAGCAGTGCCAAGAGCTTACAATAGGAAAGGACAGTCTCTTCAATAAATGGGAAATAAATGCTGGGAAAACTGGATATCCATATGCAGAAGAATGAAACTAGACCCCTGTCTCTCTCCATAAACAAAAATCAAATCAAAATGGATTGCAGACTTAAATCTAATACCTGAAACTATGAAATTATTAGAAGAAAACATTGGAGAAATGTTTCAGGACATTGGTCTAGGCAAGTATTTTTTTGTGTAAGACCTCAAAAGCATATGCAACCAAAGCAAAAATAGAGAAGTGGGATCATATCAAGTTAAAAAGCTCTGCACAGCAAAGAAAACAATCAACAAAGTGAAAAGACAACTCATGGAGTGGGAGAAGATATTTGCAAATTATCCATCTGACAAGGGATTAATAACCAGGTATTTAAGGAGCTCAAACAACTAAATAGGAAAAAACCCCAAATAATCTGATTTAAAAATAGGCAAAGGATTCAAATAGACATTTCTCAAAAAAGATGTACAAATGACCAAAAGGTATATGAAAAGATGCTCAACATCGCTAATCATCAGATAAATGCAAATCAAAACTACAATGAGATATCATCCCACCCTAGTTAAAATGGCTTTTATCAAAAAGACAGGGAATAATGAGTGTTGGCAGGGATGTGGAGAAAGAGGAACTCTTGTATACTGCTGATGAGAATGTAAATTAGTACAGACACTATAGAAAACTGTAGGGAGATTCCTCAAAAAACTAATAGTAGAACTACCATATAATCCGGCAGTTCTGCTACTTGGTATATAGCCAAAATAAATGATATCAATGTATCAAAGAAAGATTTGCACTTCCATGTTTATTGCAGCAGTATTCACAATAGCCAAAGTATGGAATCAATCTAAGTTCCCATCAACAGATGAATCAATAAAGAAAACTGTATATATGCAGTACATATACACAATGAAATACTATTCAGCCATACAATATGAAATCTTGTCCTTTATAGCAACAAGGATGGAACTGGCGTTCATTATGTTAAGTGAAATAAGGGAAAGATGAATATCGTATGTTCTCACTCTTATGTAGGAAATAAAAAAGTAGATCTCATGAAGATAAAGAGTAGAGTGACAGTTATCAGAGGCTGGGAAAAGTAGCGAAGCCAGGGCATAGAGTTTGCTTAATGGGTACAAATATAGAGTTTGATAGAAGAAATAAGTCCTAGTGTTTAATAGATCAGTAGAGTGACTATAATTTACAATAATCTATCATATATTTCAAAAAAGCTAGAAGAGAATAATTGGAATGTTTCTAGTATAAAGAAAAGACAAATATTTAAAGTGATGAATATCCTACTTATAGTCATTTGATCTTTTCAAACTATATGATTGTATTAAATTATGACATGTACCTCTAAAATGTGTACCTCTATTACGTATGAATACAAAAATAAAATTGATAAAAAAATTTTAAAGGGAGTCCTTGAAGTTGAAATGAAGGATGCTAGATAGTAGCTGAAAGCTATAAAAAATATAAATTTCTTTGGTAAAAAAATGCATGGACAAATTTATTTTTAACAGTATTATTGTAATCTGATTTGCAAATCCACTTTATTTTCTACAGGAGTTAAAGAAAAATGTATAAAATTAATTATAAATCTATGCTAATGGGTACATAGTATATAAAGATGTAATTTGTGACATCATAAGTCATGCAGAAGGTGAAGCTGTAAAGTGAATTTATATAAGCAATTGATATTAAGTTAGTATCAATTTAAGACAGATTATTATAATTTTATGATATATGTAATCCCCATGGTAACCACAAAGAAAATATCTATAGAATATACACAGAAGAAAATGAAAAGGCATTCTAAACATGTCACACAAAAAAATCAACTAAACAAAGGCACCAATGGAGGTAACAAAGGACAAAAAAATCTGTCAGGCATATAGAAAAGAAATAATAAACTAGCAAAAGTAAGTCTTTTCATACCAGTAATTACTTTAAATGTACATGTATTAAACCCTACAATAATAAAACAGAGACTGGCAGAATGGATTAAAAAAAAAACAAAACTACTCAGAATCCAAGTATATGCTGTGTGCAGAGATTCACTTTAGCTCTAAGGATATGCATAGGTTGAAAGTGAGGAACAGACAAAGATATTCCATGCAAATATTAATAGTAACCAAGAGAGAGCAGGGGAAGTTAAGCAACTATTACACACAAAAAAAGACTTTAAGTCAAAAGTTGTTACAAGAGACAAAGAATAAAGACACTCAACATCACTTATCATTAGAGAAATGAACATCTAAACCACAGTGAGCTATCATCTCATATCTGTTAGGACAGCTATTATTAAAAAATCAAAAACAAAACCAAAAAATGAACAAAAACAAACCTCACCAAAAAATAAATAAATAAAAAATAAAAAGTGCTGGCACAGATGTGGTGAAATGGAAATCCTTGTACATTGTTGGTGGGAATGCAAAATGATGTAGCCACTGTGCAAAATGATATGGTAGTTCCTCAAAAAATTAAATCTGGGCACAGTGGCTTAATCCTGCAATCCTAGCACTTTGAAAGCCCGAGGTGGAAGGATTGCTTGAGTCCAGGAGTTTGAGATCAGCCTGGGCCACACAGACCCCGTCTCAAAACAAAATTAAATACAGAATTATCATATGATCCAGCAATTCTACTTCTGTACACATACCCAAATGATTTTAAAGCAGAGACTCCAACAGATTTTAGCACACCCACAGCCAAGAGGTGAAAGCAACCCAAGTGCCCATCAATGAATGAATGAATAAATAAAATGTAAAAAGTAAGGAAATTCTGAGACATGTTACAATATGAATGAACCTTGAAGACATTATGTTAAGTAAAAATAAGAGTCACAAAAAGACAAATACTACATGATTCCACTTACATGAAGTACCTAAAGTAGTCAAATTTGGAGAGAAAGAAAGTACAATGGCAGCTTCCAGGGGGTGAGGAGAGGGAAGGATGGGGAATTAATATTGTTTAAATAGTACCGAGTGCTAAGGTTAACACTTCTTCCTATCACTGTGGCCAATAGAGCCTGCCTTGACCATTGCATGGAAAGATTTTAATCTCTATGATACCAAGGCATCTTTGACTTTCTAATGCTGCTAGAGATCATAAATATAATGTCTATGTCACATACATACTAACACAAAAGGGTATTTTTATCTTATTGCCAATGTACCTATTTTCTTTTTATATAATTTGAGATGTGATATTTCACTCATATCAGTAAGTTAAATATTTTGGTATATGGATAGCAAAGATAGTAAATGACCATTTCCTTGACGGAATTAATTTAGGAGCAACGTAGACCCAGAAGTGGTCTAACGTACATTTTTCTCCCAATCTAAATGTATCAGATTTACTTGGTGCACATATTAGTCTCCCTACTTAAAATAATCATGCTTCTTCATTCTACCTGTTCAAATTCCACCCATTATTTAGAGCCCAGGTGAAGGCAAATATTTTACAAATCATTTCCTGACTATCCCAGCCCATATTCATCTTCCTAACCTCTAGTCTCTATTTAATCATTTAGTGCTTAGTGATAGAATGCTTTGTATTATTTGCTATCATTTTATATTTTAAAACCAACTAAAATGTATGAAACAACTGATAATTATTCCAGCCTGAAAGGACAACCTGAGACAGTGATACAAGGTAAATTCAATAAAACCAAAATGTGAACTTGTTTATTCTCTTTAAAGCCTACCCAACATGAACATGAGTTCAAAAATACTATTGATTTGGGTTATCCAATGAGTTACTTCTAAAAACTTGTTTATGGAAGACTGGAGGAATTCTTTCCTTCTCTCTCACCCCCAGCACACACACATAATACAACACATAAACTAGCACACACACTCAACCACACATACTTGGACATGAGTAACAAGTGTATGGAAAGAAACTCTCTGGATACTAAAACAATAGAGCACACTACGTGTGCTCAAAATTCACACACCCACAGTCATCTATAACCTAAATTCAGAGTCCGTTTCATTGGTGGTTAGGGCACGCCTCTGGGCATTGAACTGCTGGGTTAATCTGGGAATTATTCTTTTAGATCAGACATGAAATCAAGCAGAGAAAAATGAGAGAGGAGGTGGAGGGTAGTTGTCTTTTTCCTGCAATAAGAAAATGTGTATTCCAACAAACTGAAGAAAATTGAGTTCACTGTTTATAGTTAAAACTACATATTACTTTGAGTTCAAATTCTTTCTATTAATACATAAGATTTATTGAAGTTATATTGTTTGAGTAGGATCAAGAAAGCTGAATATTATTTCAGGTTTTCAAGCCATAAGGACAAATAGTGCCTTTAGGTTTTCCATTCAACTAGGAAAATTATAGCTTCATATTTGCAACACTAAAGCTAATGCAGTGTCAGCACCTCCATCAAACTCCGTTGTTCAGCAGTTTATAATTCAAGCAGAAATGTTCACTCCAAGACCAAACTTGGCCTACACAATCTCAAAGAAAATGGAGAAAAAATTATTTTGGCTAGCGCTGACTTATAAAAGCAAAAGAGAGGGTGCTTTTACAAAGTGCTTTGAAAAACATCTTTGAGAATTTGAGAATGTAACTGGGGATTACTGAGTTGACATCCAGCATTACTAAAGTTATAGAAAGGACCCAAAATTCCATGACATCACATCAGCATCAGGAGTATCACAACTACTTTCATGAAATTCTTCATCAGGACTAATTTCCTTATCAAACAGAATTACTGTTAATAGGAAAAAAAAACAGTTATAGTGGAAAATAAAGACAGGTAAAAATTTCTCATGAAGGCAACACAAGACTTTAGATCCATTTTCCCTTTAAGTACTGACTCTCTAGTGCACCATACAGACATATATAAAATGAAAAAAAAATTTTTTTTCCCCACTTTTCAAAGTAGTTCATAATGGCGGGCTGGAATTTCCAGAAACAACTTTTCTCTTCCCAAATGCTAACTTGTACGTAGAAACAGCTTAATGTAGAAGGGGATTTCCAGCTGCAGGTGACAAGAGCTATTGGGCTCCTCATTTACTGAAGCTGGGTGGGGAGCCAGTGAATTCTGGGATCTCATGCACTTTGAAGTCCTGTGGTAGGTGGTTTGTAGATTGCCTGGTGCCTTTGTGGCATTCTGTGGGTAAGTTGGCCGCCAACCCCTCATTGCTCTGATCTCCCACACCTTAAAAATATGTCAAAACTTTAATATAGTGGGATCAGGGCATTACATTAAAAAATCATCTTTTCCTATCTATACAAGGCTCGCTTGTACTAAATACAGTGTAATTCTAGGCACTCCGTGTCTGTTTTCACTCAGCATTTATTAAAGCCCTATTATGGGCCAGGCCACAGATGATTTGATGCGATTCTCATCCTTTAGAAGGTTTCAGGAGAAAACAAAAAGTCCATAAAAGGAATTCCAGTACAATTGTGGAGTGCCATCTGGACGACTTCACTGAAAAGGTTCTGGAGGTGTCAGAGCGACACCTCCTCTCTTCCCCACTAGGCAGTTCTCACCAACCTTTGAAATCACACTGACTCACCTGGTGGGTGTTCCCTTAAGTTCCGTTCGTTTATCAAGCACTTCCTGTCCCTGGGACCCTGGGTCCTGGAACCATCAGGCCACGGAGAGATACGGAAGAGAGGGCGAGCCTTAAGGCGTCGCCTAGGAGGGTCTGGCCGGGCCTCTGGCATTGCCGGGGGCAGGGAGGGCTTAAAGGGCTCAAGGCTCACCTGATTGAACTGTGCAGCTATGAGCGAGGGTTCCCATATCTTAGAACTGGTGTTCACAGTTCCTCCTTTCTCCTTCTTGGGTGCCATGCAAAGGACGGGAGAAGCATTGGCCTCTAAACTGGGCGCAGGCCCTGCCTAAGCGTCCCCGCTACCACAGTAACCGAAGCCACGCCCAGTTCCTGAACCACGTCGGCTCCCCTCCCCCAACACCGTTCGGAATCCTTGGGTCAACCGCCTCCGTCTCCACAGCAACGGAGTTTCAGAGCGCGCGGCAGCTTGGGGGCGGGGTTCCCAGTCCCCCGGTCAAATTTTAGGACTTTTCAGCAGGAAAGCTGCACAACTGGAGGAGGGCAGGACGAGGCTGGCCTCGCAGGTCGGGCTACGTTCTTCTACGGTCTGAGGCGTTGTCTAGAAACTCAAAATCTCTGGAATCCCATCCAGGACTCCTCCATCAAGATTTCTTCCGATCCTGAGTAACCAAGATTGGAATACTGACCCCTTCAGGAGGCAGCCCATGCCGTTTTTTCCCAACCGCTCTAATCTGCCCCAAATGCTTCCTTATATGAATCCAAATTTGTCTCTCCTTGACCTCTACCCTCTGCACTGTTTCAGCCTCCGCCTCTGGGGCCTTACTAAACAAGTCCAATCACCCTTCCACGTGACCCCTTATCTAACTGTAGGTGGGATTAATGTACTTATCTGCCCAAACAGCTCCAGTCCTTTAAACTGCCTTTTATTGATTGGTAAGTAGACTTTTTTTTCCCCTTTTTTCCCACCCTGCACTCATCAATATCTAAAATATCCTGGTTGGACAAGTTTCCCAAAATAATGATAGTAATAAAAACCATTGTTTCTTGGGCACTGGTTATATGCTATATACAAGATTATTTCATTTAATTCTCACAACCACCTTATCCAATTCCCACAGTGTCTGATTGATGGTGCCAGGATTAGATCCCAGGATTATCTGAGTCACAGATCTAGTGTGCATAACTGCTACACTGCTGTCTACTACTGTTTTAGGCCTGCCAAAATGAGGGATACCCCCTTCTGGAGCTAGATTTACTTTTGTTTTTTATTGCAGTGAGACAAATTTGAGGACACCCTGGGGCAGAGCGCAACCAAAGGTGCCTTGCGGTCTCATTAGTCATATGGAATTCAGCACTGACCAGGGCTTAACTAGCCATTAAGGCCCTGCACTTTGCCTAGAGGTGAGATGCTTCAGTTATCCCAGTGGCCCAGATGAGTGAGGTGATGCAAGCCAGAAACTTAATTTCCCTGGGCACAACCTGATGAACGGGTGACCTTCCACGGGGGATGTTCTAAACCTTTTAATTGCTAACCCTTTTAATTTCTTTGAGGAATAAATTGAGGGAAGGAGGATAGTGCTATCCAGCCACTAGCATCCTTTTTCATTTGGGGGCAAATTTTAATGATGATGCTTCAACTTTTGTTCGTAATTTGGACCATGAAAGGAAGTTTATCTTTCCACCCTAATTCTTTAATATAGTTAGAGTGAGCCCTCCCATCATCACAGTTCTTCATCCCTGGATTTAACCAACTTTGGATCCAAAATATTAAAACATAAATAAATATACAAATAAAAATACAGCATAACAACTATTTTACAGCATTTACATAATATTAGATATTATAAATAATCTAGATATGATTTAAAGTGTAGGAGAGGATGTGCGTAGGTTATGTGCAAATACTAGGCCATTTTATTGAGAGGTGAAGCCAGCTGGACTTCCTGGGTTGAGTGGGGACTTGGAGAACTTTTCTTACAACAGGATTGTAAAATGCACCAATCAGCACTCTGTAGCTAGGATTGTAAAATGCACCAATCAGTGCTCTGTAGCTAACAAGGGGATTGTAAAATGCACCAATCAGTGCTCTGTAAAAATGCACCAATCAGTGCTCTGTAAAATGCACCAATCAGCACTCTGTAAAATGCAGCAATCAGCAGGATCCTAAAAGTAGCCAATCGTAGTGACGATTGAAAAAAGGGCGCTCTGATAGGACAAAAACAAAACATGGGCGGAGACAATAAGGGAATAAAAGCTGTCCACCACCAACCAGCAGCGGCAACCTGTTGGGTCCCCTTCAATGCTGTGGAAGCTTTGTGCTTTTGCTGTTTCACTCTTCACAAAAATCCTTGCTACCACTCACTCTTTGGGTCTGTGCCATCTTTTTTTTTTTTTTTTTTTTGAGATGGAGTCTCACTCTGTTTCCCAGGCTGGAATGCAATGGTGGATCTCGGCTCACTGCCAGCTCTGCCTCCCAGCGGAGGCAGACTGGGTTCACAACAGTCTCCTGCCTCAGCCTCCTGACTAGTTGGGACTACAGGCGCCCAGCACCACACCTGTCTAATTTTTGTATTTTTAGTAGAGATGGGGTTTCACTGTGTTAGCCAGGATGATCTCCATCTCCTGACCTCGTGATCCTCTCACTTCAGCCTCCCAAAGTGCTGGGATTACAGTCGTGAACCACCGCACCCGGACAGGGTCCATGCCATCTTTAAGAGCTATAACACCGTGGAAGCCTGGGCTTCATGCTCGAAGTCAGCGATACCATGAACCCACCGGCAGGAACCAAATGCAGACACATCATTAAGGGACTTGAATATCAGACATTTTTCTATCTGAGAACGTGAAGGGTCCTGGAACTAATTCCCTGTGGATACCAAGGGACCATTGTATTAAAGAAAAATAATTTCTAGAAACAGTCTTTCACAGAAACTTTACAGAAAAATACGAGTTTTTATTTCTTGCTGGAATAAATACAGTTCATCTTCTTGGGAGGGAATAGATAGATCCTATGGCAGCCTGGCCATAGGCTAAATAATTTACATCTGGAAGCCCTCTTTTGTCATGAAAATAAAATAACTGATGCATGGTAATGCCAGAGAGAGATCTGCCAGAAAAGAATTTTCCTGAGAGTCTATAACAACACCGAGGCTGCTGTTAATTTTCATAGCATTTTCTCCAAAATTTTGTTCCTCACCAAAATTTTTTCAGCATTTGTAAGATGAAAATTTTCTTTGTATTATGGCTAGAAAATAAAGTTGAGTCTCTTTCAGACCAAAAAAAAAAAAATCTACCTAATCATTAATTAGATCATTCTAAATTTTGATTAAGTTCTCATAGTTTTAAACTGGGGGAAAAAAAGTCCTGCCTTTTTATTTAAAACGTAGTAAAAAGTTTGTTGGCATTCCGGGATATTTTATTAAAAAATTTAGCTGTTTGTGCGTGTCTCGCTACATTACTAATATTCTTTCTTCTTGAATGTGAACGCACACTTCAAAATAAACCATTACCTGCAATCAGTTTTGCCAGATCACTAGCAGATGATTAATAAAATACGTTGCAGATAAGAAGAGGAAAAAATAGAATAAGCAGAAAAAAAGTAAAATTAAGTGTTATTTAAAAATTGCAGAGATAGTGTCACTAGCCATTTTTTTTAACAAGTGACAGCTGTCCAACCACAATATTGGCAGCAGTAAGATGTTTGCAATATTTATTGTGACAGAAACTATCCAGTTGTTCATCAGACATTTCCTTTTATTTTCTCCTAATATGGGAGTCAGACATTTTTTGGCCTTCCTTATTCTTAGATGTGAACATGTGACTGAGTTCTAGCCAAGCCTGGCCTTGAAAAATGTCCCCCAGCATTCTTCATACCCTTTTTGCTTGATATTGGGGTGGCATTGAAAACCTTGAATCTCTGAATGATTGCTGTGACACAGAGGTCTCTCCTTCCCCTGAAGATCATCTTGCTCCTCCCACCAAAAGCATTTGCTTGGGACTATTATGTAGGTGAGAATTAAACATTTTTCTTAAAGCTGCTGAAGTACTGGGGTTTGCTACAGCAGCAAGGGTTACCGTAACTACCCTAACATTTTTTATCATTTTCATCTGAGAATCACCTGTTAATAAATCTAACACCAGCCAGCCTTTCTGAAACTGCCTGAGAGAAAAACCTTGTTACTTTCAAGGAGGCAATACACAATGCTGGCCACTGTGAGAGGCAGGAAGATCTAATCCCTACCTCCCCACTACCCCATGCATCTAGTGAGATCTCGATCTCACCCTTTACCTTGCTTTCCATTTGCATATACAGTACATTCTTTCGCTTCTTTATCTAGTAAATAAATTTCTTACTTTAAACAAATGGTTTGCATAGTTAAGTAATACAAGAAACTAGTCTTATATCACCTATACTTAGGAAAAAATGTTCCTATTTTTCGGAAGATAAACCAACTAGATCCATCACCTAGCTATCCATATACATCATTTATAATTTTGAAAATGATTTAAAGGAGTTGAACATTTTAAAAGCCAAAAATAAATATTTCAGAATGGAAGAGTGTATTTCTAATATAATCTTTTATAGTTTCCTTGGTAAAGTCCTACCAGAAAACATTTAAATATAAAAGGTTTTCCAAAATTGATTTAAGGAGTTTAAAATAAAGGTTTTATTACAGAATGCTTTTTGCCCAGTTTTGGCCTTTTCCATTATTCTAGGGAAAGTGGTGCTCTAGATAATTTATGATACAAAATGGGAAGATATTATACAGTAACCAAATTTATAAGGGGTTTCGTCATAGAATTGGTCTGTTTAATTTCAGAAAATAGGTGTGAATGACAATGTTCACAATTTGAAGTAGCAAAAGTCATTCAGCCAAAAAAGGACCCTGCCAAGAACAGAAAAAAAGCATTACCATCTGTCATACGTTTATGCTTTTTTGGTATAATAAATTGTTTCCCCCACTAAATATAAGTTGAAACTTTATAAGCATATACTTTACTACATAAATTTTCCCATATGTCAGTGGCTAAAACAAAACTATACTATTTGGAAAATTTTCTTTCACATTGGCAGGGTTACTCCTGGTTTGTTTGATTTAGTTTTTCCAGTATGAGTTTGCATTTGATATGTTTAGCTTACCAAAGACTGTCCACTTTCAGGGATGCATGATTTCTTTAGGCTATGATTACTAAATAAGTTATTTCTTCAAGTATTATGCTTTGATCTTATAATTCACTCTTACTCAGGTGTGAAGTCAGCCATATTACTTTTCATACTTGAAAGGTTTAGCCAACTATTGATGCATCCAGTACTTCCATTGTTGTCAGGTAACAGCAGGAACTATAGACCAAGTCACTTCTAGGCCAGGATTCCAGGTATTCAAAATCCATTTAGCTGCAGCAACCAACTTGCCTTGGGTTAAGAAGGCCTCACAGATGTCTACTGATTTCTCCAGTTGGTATCCTACATCCAAGAACACCTCTCGGTATACATATGTCTTGTTCACACCATGATCTTTGCATTTCTAACCTTCAAAATAGAGTGCTATAATGCCCTGTCTTTGAGTTTTTATTGTGTGTGATACAAAGGGCTAGGTGTCTTTCAGCTACAGGGTCCAAAACATATGGAGAATATTATACCTGCATTCTATGGTCAGCATTAGCTTCCTATTTATTTTTGAGTGCTATTTAAAGTGTTGACTTTAATCTTTAAAACCCCTCATTGTTTAGAAGCCAGTTACTCCAGATATCACATCTCTCCCTATGCATCACTGTGGCAATTAAAATCAGCTGCAGTGCTTGCAATTTGTAATCCCGTGTGAATTCTGGGGAGCCTGGGAGTAGATCACTTTCCAGAGAAGAACTACCCTAAGAACCCTCAGTTTCTGTCAATGATAAAAGCAGTATTTGTAGTTTATAGTTTTGGCCTTGAATGTCTTGTCATATATCTGTAAGTGTCTGGAACCATAATTAAGTGCTGTTGATTTAATTTTTATGTTATTTGTAGTGAGAGAGTTTAGAATACCAAATCTACATTTAATGAATCAGAAAAATAACAACTGTACATAGTAAAAATAGACAAAGCTAAAAGTCATCTGTTTCATATTTGTTAGTGTGGGAGTTTTCACTCTAGTGTTCTCTCAAGTCCTTCTTTGAATCTAATTTTAATATCTTCAGTGAAGGGATTTGCCCTGAATCCTTAGGGAACCATTTCAAAATCCATAACTCATGTAATTTATTTCTCTAAATGCTTACCTAAATGTTTGATTTCTTAATGTTTTATCAGATGTCTGTTACTTATAAATGTGTGCTATGTTAAATAATAACTTTCTTTTTGCTGTATACAAGGTCCAAAAGCTATAGTTGAGGTAAACCTACTCCAATCTAACAGACTACACCAAGTAATATTATGCCAGATCATGGAACATTCTTTTGGAGAGAACAGATGATTGGTAATGGGGCTCTGAGGACCTGGTAGCACTGTATATGTGGCTTAGGTGAAGAGTGGTGTCTACCACTTTTCTTACCCATCCGTCTTCAACTTCTCATTCCTTTTTCCAGCCTAACCCTCAGCCTTCTTCAAAAAATTCAGAATACCACTAGGAAGATTTCCAAATGACTTCCTAGGAAGTTTGTCTCTGACTATGATCTTGTAAATGTTAAATGCAACTGTGTTACTCACCTTTTTCTGTCTTACCATGTATGCCAAACCATAGTTCCATGAATTAATTTTGCTTTGCTAGATTCCAATTTTCGTGTAATATCTTGTTATGGAGGGAACCCCAACCAAAGGCTGTAGGATACCATAGTGCCCCACTTATTGAGAAGGGGTTATCATTCAGTAGGACCCAATTACTTCATTTCCTCCTATATTTCAAGCTCACAGATCATTTGCTTACCTAATAACTATAAAATGCTCTTTCTTAGTATTTTATACTATATTCATCTCTTGGTAAGAAAATGTTTATCTGATTAAATAAAATTGTATTTCCTAGTTGACCGGTGTTGCCATTTAGAGGGATGGGAATGCTAGAAAAAGAAGGTTCTGGAGGGGTTGGGTGGTAGGTGAGGAAATTATGATTTTGGTTTTAGACATGTTCAGTGTGTGTACCGTTGAGACATCCAGATGTCTCAGGCAATTGGATATGTGGGCCTGGTGCTCACAGCAGGGATAGACATGGGTGAATCATCAGCATATGAGGTTGAGTTTGCCTGGAGAGACCACCAAATGAACAGGGGAGCAGAATCTAGAGCTGAACCTTTAGGAGACTGTGGTTGTGAGAAAGAAAATAGATATGCGACCAAAGAGGTGTGTCACTGGAGCCAAAGGACAGGATGAGAGCATTTCTAAAATGTGGGAGTGTCCAGCAGTGTTAAATGCTACTGAGAGGTCAAGTGAGAAAGACTGAAAAATGCTTGCTGGATTTAGGGAAGAAAAGGTCAGCAGTAGTTACCTACTCCACTTTAGCTACATTCACTTGAATGCATTTCCTATGAAGGTAATTTTTCCTACTGTTCTTGGGTCAAACTGATCTGTAAGAGTGATTTTTTTAAAAAAATTACATTTCTGATAGTTTGATATGTGGTAGATTTATGGGCTGAAAGAATTAATATTGTTAAAATGTCCGTACTACCCAAGGTGACCTAAAGATTCAGTGCAATCCCTATCAAAATTCCAGTGGCATTCTTCACAGAAATAGAAAAAAAAAATCCTAAAATTTATATGAAACCACAAAAGACTCTGAATTGCTGTAAAGCAACCCCAAGCAAAAAGAATAGAGACAGAGGTATTAATATTACCTTACCTGACTTTAAACTAAACTACAAAGTTATAGTAATCAAAACAACATGGTACTGGCATAAAAACACATAGACCAATGAAACAGAATAGAGAACCCAGATACAAATCCATGTATTTACAGTGAACTTATTTTCAACAAAGGCTGCAAAAACATACCCTGGAGAAAGGACAGTCTCTTCAATAAATGGCACTGGGAAAACTGGACAACCACTAGAATAAAACATTGGAGAAATGCTTTGGAACACTGGCCTAGGCAAAGATTTCTTGAGTAGGACCTCAAAAGCACAGGCAACAGAAGCAAAAAGGGATAAATGTGATCTTATTAAGTTAAAAAGCTTCTGCACAGCAAATGAAACAGTCAATAGTGAAGAGACAACCCACAGAATGAGAGAAAATATTTGCAAACTATTTAAATGACAAGAGATTGTTAGCTAAACTATATAAAGAACACAAACTACTCAATAGCAAAAAAAATTTTTAATGTCAAATAATTGGATTAAAATGTGAGCAAAAGATCTGAATAGACATTTCTCAAAAGAAGGCATACATATGGTCAACAGGTATATGAAAAATTGTTCCACATCACCAAACATCAGAGAAATGCAAATCAAAATCACAATGAAACATCATCTCACCCCAGTTAAAATGGCTTTATCGAAATGACAAAAAATAGCAGTTGCCAGTGAGGATGTAAAGAAAGATGAAATCTTGTACACTGCTGGTGAGAATGTAAAGTAGTACAGACACTATGGAGAACGGTATGGAGGTTCCTCAAAAATCTCAGAACTATTGTATGATCTGGCAATCCCACTGCTGGGTATATATCCAAAAGAAAAGAAATCAGTATATTAAAGAGATGTCTTCATGCCCATGTTTATTGTAGCACTATTCACAATAGTTAACATATGGAATCAACCTGTGTCCATCAATGGATTGGTGGATAAAGAAAATGGGGTACATATACACAATGAAATATTATTTGGCTATAAAAAGGAATTAACTCTTGTTGTTTGAAACAACATGGATGGAACTGGAGGACAGTAAGCAAAATAAGCTAGGCACAGAAAGATAAATATTATATATTCTCACTTAAGTGTGGGAGCTAAAAGATTGATCTCATGGAGATAGAGAGTAGAATTATGGTTACCAGAGACTGATTAAGGTAGTAGGGACTGGTGGGGAATAAAGAGGCGTTGGTCAATGGGTACAAAAATACAGATAGATGGAATAAAATCTAGTGTTTGGTAGAACAATAGGGCAACTATAGTTAATTTTATATTTCAAAATTACTAGAAGACTGGAATTGGAATGTTTGTAACAGAAAGAAATGATAAGTGTTTGAGGTAATAGATATCCCAATTACCCTGATTTGATCGTTACACATTGTATGCTTGTATCAAAATATCACGTTCTCTAGAAATATGTGCAAATATTATGTATCCCTAAAATATAAAAATAAAAATTTTGTTTAAATCGTGTAAACTGCGAAAATCATATCTATTACAATACACAGTTTTTATTGTATACATTTTCTTATTTGTAATTTTTTTCCTTTTTTTGAGACGGAGTCTCGCTGCGTTGCCCAGGCTGGAGTGGCGCTATCCCAGCACGCTGCAAGCCCCGCCTCCCGGGTTCACGCCATTCTCCTGCCTCAGCCTCCCAAGTAGCTGGGACTACAGGCGCTGCCACCATACCTGGCTAATTGTTTTCTATTTTTAGTAGAGACGGGGTTTCACCGTGTTAGCCAGGATGGTCTCGATTTCCTGACCTCGTGATCTGCCCGCCTTGGCCTCCCAAAGTGCTGGGATTATAGGCGTGAGCCACCGTACCCGGCCTGTAATTTTTTAAAGATATCAGTGAGCACTGGCTTCTATGCACAGTATAAAGAAATTTTCACAACACTGGCATCTTTTAAGTTTTAAAATGTAATAGTAAGGAAATCATCTTATTAAAATCTACTTTAAGCATGTTTTGTGAATGCATCAGTCTGAAAAGGGAGGAAGGATTATGTCATACTGAGGGAAAGGCCCTATATTGCATTTCTGTCCGCTTTCAAATACACATTCTCAGAAAACGTCCAACAAAAGTTTTACCATTTGGTTGACAAAAATGAATATAAGGAAAGGATATGAGAAAAAAGAAAGCACTTGAAGTCAGACAGTAGGAAGCAAAGGAAAACGTTAAGAAAAGACTCATTCAAAAACAAAATTTCAGCCAATGCACAAGTCTATCAGCAGAACAAATAATGCTTCTAAAGGTGGTGGTGTAGGCTGGTTTCTCTGTCTCGCTCCACTTCTGAATGAATCTGTTCAGGTCTTCTGCCATTTCCTTTATGGGAGCCAACTGTTTCTAACTCTGCCCACCCAAATAACAGCTTTATTGGCTCTTTCTTATATTTCAACTATATTAAACAAAACTTCATTGTCTGTTATGCTTTGATTTTTGTGCTTTACTTTTTGTTTTGTAAATAGCAGTACCTTCTTTATGCTCCCATGGTTCTTTCTTTCTTTCTGTCTGTCTTTCTTTCTTTCTTAAAGCTGGTTAGTTATAATCTTTAGGCTTCTATTTTTGTTCAAAATCAAGTTACACAATTTGCCAATAATCCACATTTTAAAACTTTTATGATTATTTTTGAATAACTGTATGCACTTCACCTGAGCCGGCTGTCTTAATCCTTTAGAGTGTGGCTATTTTCCACTATTATACTTTTGGGTAATAACCATTGCCAATTTTATCCCACTAAGTAAATTCCTCATTTTATGGAAATTGTTTTTATAAAGCTTAAGTTACTCACATTTATACCCATAATCTCTTCTCCCTCCCTGTTCAGTCTGGTAGTCGTTTGAAACCCTATTAAGCTATTTGTTATCACAGTTTCTAAAACTCCTCCTGATATTAGCTGTTCAACTTGTCATATACTCCTTCTTCAACACAGGAGGCTAATTAAAAATTGGAGAATCCAATCACAGGGCTGAGAGGCACTTTCACAGGGCATCTTGTGCTAAGAGAACAACATTCTTTCTCCTGGGTTCAATTCCCTTCACCGCTCCTTGTAGGCTGTTTGATGACCTTGAGCAAATTATTTAACCCCTCTTTGCTTCACTTTTTTGTTTTGTTTTTAAAAATGAAATGGGAATAATTATGTTTGCATTGTAGGACTGTTGTGAAGGTGAAAGTCGTAGCTATCAATGATTAGAACAGTTCATAGCACATACTATGCCCTTGATAAATGTTAGCTAATATTTTAAACATTAATGTTTTATTTTAGAATAGTTGTAGTTTTACAGTAAAGTTTCAAAGATAGTGCAGAGGGTTTGCATGTATCCGCATCCAGTTTCCCCTATTGGTAACATCTTAAATTAAGTATGGTATATTTGTTGCAACAATGAACTAATATTAATATGCTAACGAATAGTTTTAACCCAATGTCCTTTTTCTGTTCCAGGAGCCCACCCAGGATACTACATTACATTCAGATGTCATGTCTCCTTAGGCTCCTGCAGACTGACAATTTCTCAAACTTTGTTTTTGATGACTTTGACAATTTTGAGGTGGTATGATAATTTGTGAAGTGTTTCTCATGCTTAGCCTGGAGTTACAAGGTTGGAGAAAAAGACCAAAGATGTGAAGTGCCATTCTCATCACATCATGTCAAGGGTACATGCTGTTAACATGAATTAACATCGATGATGTTAACCTTGATGTCCTGGCTGAGGTAGTTTATTAGGCTTTTTCTCTACAAAGTTACTCCCCTCCCCGTACCTTTCCTTACTGTGTTTTTGGGAAGGAAGTCACTACGTGCAGCTCACCCTTAAAGTATGGGAAGTTACACTCCAACATGCTTTAGGGGGGTAGTATCTATTCCTACATAAATAACTTGAAATTTTTCTGTATGGGAAATTTTCTACCTCATTAATTTATTTATTCAGTCATTTGCTTACCTCAGTAATGACTCATGAATGTTTATCCTTTGGGTTGTATTCCCAATGTACTATAATATTTATTTACTTTATTGTTCAGTCAGTTGCCCTAGCTTTGATATTTGCGAGGTCTTTTAATTGGCTCTGCGTCTCCTTAATATACCCCTTTATTGGATTTTTTTTCTTTATTTTCTGGCACTACAGATGCTTCAGCCTCATTCATCTTGCATATTACCTGACCCTGTCCTAGAAGCAGCCAGTTTTCCAAGGAGCCCTGGTTCTCTTTCCTGGAGAATGGTTGAACATGCTGATTGCTACTGGAGTATCTTTTGTTTCTAGGCCCTCTCAGTGGACTGATTTAAGAAATAACCCATGTATACACACACATATATATATATACACAAAATTACTTCTTTATCTATTTCTGTCTATATTAAGGTAAACACGAGTTCACACTGATATTTCCCACTCTAATCCAGTACCACATGTTTCCTTCTAGCCTGCTAATATTTTATTAGCTATTCATTCATTCACTTATTGATTCATTGAACAAATTTTGTTGAGTGTCTATTATATGCCAGGCCCTGTGCTCAGCACTGAGGATTAGAGAGTCTGGCGGATACTATCCCTACTCTCATGTAGCTTAGAATCCAGTTTACATGTTACATTTTTACTTTAGTTCTTTGGTACTACCAAGGAATGACATCAATCACAACAGCCTATTTCCATATCTCTCTGCATTTTCCCACCATAGTCCATTCTCCCACTTCCAAGATGGCACTACTTTCTATTAATCATTCGTTTTCCTCTCTACCCTCATTTCTCCTCTGTCAGCTCTTTGCCCTGTGGGGTTTTCACCTTTCGTTAAAACACTCCAGCAGAAGAGTGGCTTAGTGCTAAATAAGAGTAGTGTTAGTGTACCTCCCAGTTGTGTTGCACATTTGAAAGGTCTTTCACATCTCATTTTTGAGTATAGGATTATGTAAAGAATCATACGGTATTACCAAGGTGCTTTGTTTAGGGTGGCATCTTATGATTGCCACTCACATGTAAATTCATATGGGATTTGTTATCACCTACTGCTATCTCGAATTGGAGGACCTGTGTTATTCTCTTATGAAGACAATCTCTATTGATGCAAAACTGTAAAGTACCTCTGATTTTAATGCTTCTCTTTTCTGTTTACTGAAAAGATTTTCATGCTTTTAAAGCTTTAATGATTTTAATACTTTTCTTTGCTGTTCATTGAAAATCTATCATTATATCTCTTTCACTCTGAAGGTCATTATATTTGCCTTCTTTTTTCTTGAGTAAATGTTCTAGAAATTTGTCAATGTTACTAGTCTTTCAAATAACAACTTTGGGCTTGTTTGATCCTCTCTATTGCGTGTTTGTTTTCTGTTTCATTATGTTTTGCCCTTTTTAATTTCCTTACTTTTATTTTCTATATTCTGTTCTCAAATTTATAAAGTTGAACGCTTAGCACATTAATTTTAGCCTTTTAAATTTGGTAATATAATCATTTAAGCCCTCATGTTTCCCTCTAATTGCTACTTTGGCTTCATATCACAAGCATTAATATATAGAGGATTTATTATTATTTAGTGCTTTACAATTTCTAATTTTCATTGTAATTTATTTTTTGACCCATGAATTATTAGCATTTTGATTTTGTTTTCAAATGTGGGTGAGTTTCCCCCAGTTATCTATTTAATTTTGATTTCTATTTAATTGTGTTATGAATAGTTTTTTTAAAATGATGTTCTTTGAATTCTTTATCTGTCTAATCTGCTGTTTAACATTTTATTGTATTTTATTTATTTATTTTTAAAATTTCAGCTCTTGTACTTCTATATGATTCACTTTTTCTAAATCTACCTGGTACTTTGTTTAGAGAGTATCTTATTCCTTGATCCACTTACTGTTCTCTTTTATTTCTTTTGACATATTAAGCATACTTACTCCATATTCTTAATTGATAATTCTACCATTAGAAGCATTAGGTGTGCTTGAATATATCTTCTTTGTTTCTACTCTTATTCAAGGACTGTTGTCTCCTTGTGCATTTTATTATTATTTTCTATAAGTTAATATTAATGAAATATTTCAGGCCTGGATTGAAGGTGTCTTTCTCTCATAAATATGTGTATGCGAATTCTTGATTTGAAGTTTTGTGGATCACTTACTACAAACCTGTGTGAAGGTGGGCTTGAAATCTCAGGAAAAATTTATTTTTCACTCTGCTCCAGAGCTGGGACAAGCAAATTTCTTTGCTGTCATTGTCTGTGGAGTGGGATTTATGTACGTATGCATTTCAGTTTTCCGTTTTACTAAGGGTATATATACTCCTTTGGGTCTCAGCTCTATGTGGGAGTCTGCTATAGATTGCCTATGTGTAGAGGCTATGGCTATTTTCTCTAGTCCCTCCACTTTTCTCAGGGTTGCCAAAATGGAAGCTCATGGTCACTTTGATGCTTCTTTATCTTTCTGGTTTCCTGCTTTCACTTTGTCTTTTGGCCTTTGATGAATTCCCTTCTATACTTGTCAGCTCAATTATATATTTTTAAAAATTATTTTATTCAGAATCATAAAGTATTTTGTAAGAAGAAGGTTGTTCATTGTATTTAGTGTATCATGCTGTCAGAAACATAAATTTTATAATCTTTCTTCAAATTGTCTATCCTTGACAAGGCAGCTTTAAAAATGAAACAATAAAACTATGAAACAGAATGTAACTGCTTTCCTTTTAAATTAATTATCCCCACATTGAAGAATTCCTATGACCAATTGGTGAAAGTCTGATAATTTTGCTTCAATATTTGCAGGCTTATGTGTATTTATAACACCCAAGAAAGTATGTATATTTTAATGTGAATTTGTTTGCATGAATTTATTTTTCCTTAAATTGATTTTTATACTTTGCTTCTCCACCCTAAAAATGAACTAATTCTGTCCAATGATAGAAATATTTGGATATAAGGGAGGAACCTATATAAGGTGGTAAAATATCTAAAAAATTCAACCATAGGACTATTCCTAGGAAGAGCCCAAGGTCTTTAACCCTAATCCCCTCCCTCTCAAAAATTAGACAACACACATAAGCCAAAATACAACAGAAGGATCTTCTGAGACTGAGATTGAATAAATCTCAGTGTGGAATAAATGCCATTGCCATCAAAGACATTATCTACCACATGAGAGAGGGATACTGAGCACATATGTGGGGCAGAGGAAATCCTTTAGTCAAAGGTCACACATTACTAAGCAACAAACTGTACAAAGTCACTTACTGTGGGAAAAACATAGATATAAAAATTCAGATTTGAGTGGAACTATGCACTGGATTTATTCTTTTTTTTTTTCTGGTGTATTGGGCCCTACATTGCCTTTGAGAAATGAACAATGCACTAACAAATATGAAGGAGGGTGGTTAGAAAGAGATGGAGTGGGCTGCTGGTGGTATAATGACTCTGTGTTGCATTTCTTGAGCATTTTGAAGTAGGAGAGAGCAGAAAAGAAAAGTACGAAAAGCATGAGGAGGAAGGTACTAGGGCTTAGATTTTCAAAACAGAAAGACTAGTTGTAGCAACCAAGTGGAGGAATGTCGGGGAGCTTTTTGGATTTTCTTTGTTTGGCTAAGGGGAAACTAATTTTGTCTTGATTCAGATTCCCTTTATAATTGCCTTTTGCCTCTGCATTTATATCCAGGCATAGTATGGAATAATCGAAGAACTCTATTCAACTTCCTGTCAAACTTTCTTAAACTAGAAATACCTGACTTTTCTCAATGAGTTGCATGTCCAGTGTCCATTGAAATGCTGATGTAAAAGTATCTGTCTGAAATACTTGTAAATCACAACTGTAATACGGATAGTTCTATACTTATTAGATTCTATTTAGCAGCTCAGGAAAGGAGAAAGGACAGATATTTTCCAAACCCCTAAGTTCAAATTCAGAATGTTCCCAGCTTTACATAAAGTGAATATTTATTTTTTACTTTACTTACCCTTTTCATTTTCATTAGAGCCTTAAGATAGGTATTTATCTGAAAAGACATGTACTTACACAATTTAATTCTTGCTAATTGGGATTCACGCTGAGATAAATAAGAGTTCAAAACTTTGCTTTGCAGAAATTCATAAGACTTAAGTTCAGCTGAAATATCCAATTCAGAATATTGCAGCTCTGAAATTGAGTTAGTCACTCCCTCCTCATGTATTGCATATTGTCACCATGATTTTGGTTAAAATCATGATTCTGATTATGGTTGGCAGGCACAATGAGAAAAATCTTTTTATAAGTTTTCACAGGGATACACTCACCAAAAAGAAGACCAAATTACTGGTTCTCACTTCAATAAATATTTTTACATATACTATGAAAAACACCATTTACCCATAGTGCCAAAAACAGATTGTAGGAAGCCTTGGTAAAAGGAACATTATTACAGTGCTTAGCACATATAAATTCAGTAAATATTAGGTTTTCATTTTCATTTCTTCTTCTTTATTCTTTTCCCTTCCTCCTCCTCCTCCCCGTCTCCTTCCTCCTCCCCCTCTCCCTCCTCTCTCTCCTCCTCCTCCTCCCTCTTCTCCATTACCCTTATAAATATATTTCACCAGTAACTTGTAATAAGGTTGTGCTGAGGGTCTCTGATAAACACTATCTCACACATATAAAATCTCCGTGGCTGTTTTATTTTATTCTAGCAACTAATGCTTCTACTTCATCTCCCATATTAGTCAGAAACCTCCCTTTCTCTATCTCCTCTTCTGACCTCTCGCTTCTCACTGGGATCTATCTCGTTTTTTGTTGTGGATGCTGTTTTAATGTCAGGAAAAAAGGATTCCTCTCCCTGTTTCAGCCTGGGAAAGGAGAAGGGATAAATATTTTCCCAATCTCCCAAGTTGAAATTCAGAAGGAATTGCCCTAGAAACTAAATCTAAATGACAGTAACCAAAATGAGGAAGCAACATTCAGGCTTATAAAACGTTCTCTAAGTTATAACAACAAAGAAGCTGATCAGTGGGAGGATAGGGTGAAACTGTTCTCTGATTCAGAGAAAGAAACCTCCAAACTCTGGTAGTTTCAGAAAAGAGCTAGAAAGGACTTGAATGAAGATAGAGAACATTGCATGGGTGAAAGAGTTGGCCCAAGCAAAATTTCGAAGAGGAAATTACTGTGGTGTGTGTGTGTGTGTGTGTGTGTGTGTGGTGTGCTGGTCAGTTGGCATGTGGGTAGGGTACAGCAATGAGTACAGTGTGATTGGAATCAAGAATGCATTCAAATAAAGACAGGCCAGATATAAAATCGCCAGTGTTAAGACAGATTACAGAAGCTCCTCTTGGAAAATTTTAGGAATATGCACCATGATGGGTTTGACTTCTGGGTCTGGAATTCTGTTAGGCTTTCCAATAGGCCTACACTCCATCTAGAGACTCAGTTCTGACCCAGGCTGTGTTAGTTCATTCTTGCAGTGCTATAAATAAATACCTGAGACTGGGTAATTTATGAGAAAAGAGTTTTAATTGTCTCATGGTTCTTCAGGCTGTACAGGAAGCATAATGCTAGCATCTATTTCTGGGGAGGCCTCAGGAAGCTCACAATCATGGAAGAAGTTGAAGTGGAGGCAGGCATCTCAGATGGTGGGAGCAGGAGCAAGAGCATGAAGGGGGAAATGTCACACGTTTAAATGAACTGATCTCATGAGGAGTCACTCACTATCATGAGAATAGTACCAAGGCGATGGTACTAAACCACTCATGAGAAATCCACCCCCATAATTCAGCTCCCACCAGGTCTCACCTTTTGGGGATTGGGGACTTTTCTTTCTCTTTCTTTCTTTCTAAGTTATAGCAATAAAGAAGCTGATCAGTGGGAGGATAGGGTGAAACTGTTCTCTGATTCAGAAAAAGAAACCTTCAAACTCTGGTTTCTTTCTTTTCTTTCCTTTGTTTTTTTTTTTTTTTTTTTTTTTTTTTGACAGAGTCTTGCTCTATTGGTCAGGCCAGAGTGCAGTGGCATGAGCTCGGCTCACTGCAACCTCTACCTCCTGGGTTCAAGTGATTCTCCTGCCTCAGCCTCCCGAGTAGCTGGGATTTTTGTATTTTTAGTAGAGATGAGGTTTCTACTAAGCCATTGCCCAGGCTGGTCTCGAACTCCTGACCTCAAGTGATCCACCCGCTTCTGCCTCCCAAAGTGCTGGAATTACAGATGTGAGCTACTGTGCCCAGCAGGGATTATATTACAACATGAGATTTGGGCAGGGACACATGTCCAGTGGACAGTCATGCTTCTGGGACTGGACTGACTTTGCAGCCAGCTTCCCATCACCAGGCTTTTGCCTCGTTCCTTGGTTCCAAGAGCTGCTCCTTTGCCCTAATTCTAGTATTTGGGTTTTTACCTTACTTCCCCATTCCTGGGTTCTTATTCTGTTCAGGATCTAGGTAACAATACATTCCTACATTCCTCTCATGTTGGAATCCTTTCTCCTCCAGCTTCTCCTGCCCCTTACTCTGCCTTCTTTGATATTCCCATACATTGGAATCTTTCTGTAAAAGCTAGTTCCTTTCACTGACACCAGAACTCTTTCATACCCAATTCTTTCTGAAAGTACTACCTGTAGCCTACCATAGAGAATATCCCCAAAACCACCTTGCCATTCTGGGTGGATCTGTAACATTTCTGTTGCCTACTTGTTTCTGCTCTGTCTACTGGTTATGAGATTATACGTTATCTGGAGATAAACTTTCATTTTGTTACTCCTTACTTCTGAAGATACCATGCTCTATTCATATTTATTTATCCCCAGGGTTTAGCATATAGAAGGAACCTAGTAAATCTTTGTTGAAAGGATAGAATTCATTTGCTTTCTAGGCCTTCTATAATTTGGTCCCATTCTCCCCATCCCTCTTTTCTTCTCTTTAACACATTCACTGTATTCCAGTTAAATTTGTCTTTGAATAATAGCTCTTCACATCATAGCTCTTCATCTTCCTCATCCCTTGCGCAGCATCACAGCTAGTCAGTATTTCCAGGACTTTGCTCATGCTGATCCATCATTGAAATGATACCTTCTCTCTTGTTCTTACATCAAGCCTTGCCTCCTTTACGAAAGGTTCATTAATTAGCCAACATTAACAACTTCTCTTTTTGGTAATTGCTTCAATGTCTTAATTGGGTAATCCTAATGATTAAGGGAAGGATCCCCCAGTTGTTACAATCTCTTTCTCTTTGTTTCCATTGTTCCTGGGTCAGTGTCAGGCACACAGTACAACTCCGGGCTTACTGTTCGTTCAGTTGATTGCTGCGGGTGTTGGTCCCAAGCACAGAAAAGGCAGTCTCCTCCCACAACGGACTTTCATGCAATCTCTTTAAGGGCTCGCTGGTCTTTGATGCCTGCCTTGTTAGGCACATAGTAGGTGTTGGAGGATTTGGAGTCAAGAGGCCCATGTTCAAATCCCAGTTCTAGCTGTGTGATTGTGGGTAAGCTACTTAACTTTCGTTAGTCTCAGGTAACTCATAAATAATAATTAAGTAATAATAGTAATTTCCCCACAGAGTTGTTAGGAGGATAAGACGTGATAATGTGTATGAAAAGAGTTTTATAAAGTGCTTGGTAAGATTGGTTAGTTTTAAAGACTCAATAAAATATGCTTGAATAAATGTGTCAGAGCATTACTCATCATTCCACGTGTGGCATCCAGATGAGGAGGCTCTAAAATTTATGACAAAATGGTTTGACAGAAAACTCACAGGATGCCAGCCACCTCATCGGTATTTGCTGTGTTCTTTCATAGTGTGTTGTTTTCTAAATTTTTTTCTTCTTCATTTTAATTAGGTCATGAAGTGCTCTCCAGTTAAGATCCTCACCATCTTAATTAACACTCAGACATGCTGTGCTGTTTATCTCTATTTTTTTTTTTTTTTTTTGTCGCTGAGGTCATTTTACATGATCTCCTTGTCCTAAATGAGGATCACCACTTTCCAAGGAGTGTCTCTTTAAAAGTCGCCTTTGCTGTTTCCCTCCTCTGAGTCCTCCATGGATAGGCTATGTAGGTTAATGGGACAGGTTGACTTGGAGGGATCCCCCTCTCCTCTAGCAACTTTCTGCACCTCCTCTTCCCTGCTGTCATTCCAATGGTAAGGATTCCAAATGGGAAGGGCCTCTATGTTGGTGATACCAACTGCTGAACTGCAAATGATAACTCATTCTGGTGTGGTGTTGACAGAGGAGAAAGGCAGAGAGAGGCATGTTCCCCAGCAGCAGGTGGTGGCACTGGTCCAAGGAGAAGTATGTGGACAGTCTTTGACAACAGCACATGCCTGGCTTAGGATGTTTTTTTTTATCCATTTATTATGACCAGCTCCAAGAATAGGGAAGAACTTGGCAGAAAAGCCCCAGAATGCAGGCTGTGCTAGTCAGCAACTGTAGTGGTCAATTACTGGGATATTTCATTATATTTATTTATTTACTTATTTTTGAGCTACATTGGAGGCTGTGAGTGGTGGGTAGGTGTCAAGTTGCTATCTTTTAACCCAATAATTTCAATTCTAAGTTGTAAGTAAAAAATTAGTTGTACTGTTGTTGGTCGCAGTATGTTTATGGTAGGTTGGAAAATAAACTAAGCTTTTAACAATAGAAACTTGTTTAATTAATAATGGCACATCAAAATGATGAAAGATTAGGCACTCATTAACATGATGCTTCAGAAGAATATTAAATTACATGGAAACTTTTCAAGGTATATTAACTACAAATCAGCAAGTTACCAACATAGATTGCACAGTCTGATCTCAAGTTTATATCAGTGTGGGAGGCAGTATATTTTATGGGATACAAGCACATCCTCAGGAGCTAGGTTGCCTCTGTTCAAGTAACAGCTCTACCACTTAATATGTATGTAGCCTTGGGCAAGCCACCTCTCTATGCCTCAGTTTCTCCATATGTTAAGTGGAGATAATAATTTTGCCAATCTAATGAGATTGTTCTGAGGGCTAAAATAATCCACATAACATGCTTAGAACAGTGCTGGCTCACAGCATTCCTAGAGTAGATATTAGCTATTCTTATAATACAGTCATACACACATAACATTTGGTCAACCGTGGGCTCCATGTATGGTGGCATTTCCATGAGATTATAATGGAGTGGAAAAATTTCTATCGCCTAGTGATGTGGCCATCTCAACATCACAGGGCAATTCATACCTTCTGTGTGTTTAGATACACAAATACTTACCATTGTATTACAATTGCCTACAGCATTCATTATAGTAACATGCTACACAGGTTTGTAGCCTAGGAGCAATAGGCTATGCCATAACAGTATAGGTGTGTAGTAGGCTATGCCAAGTAGGTTTGTGTAACTACATTCTGTGATGTGTGCACAACAACAAAATTGCTCAATTGATGCATTTCTCAAATGCATCCCTGTCATTAAGTGATGCATGGCTGTAATTATATATGCATAAAAGGGATAATACTAAAATAAGAGTGATTATCTCTGAATGGTATGATTATGATTTATTAGAATTTTCTTCATTGTGTATATTTATACCTTATATCTTCTACAATAAATACATAATATTTTATAATATGAAAAATATAGTGAAAGTGGTTTAAAAGTGCAGTTTGTTACTAAAAGATTAAAATACAGAACTTTTTTTTGCAAGGAAGATACTCCACAGATAAATTAATCTGAAGTGCCAAAAGCTATATTAGGTTGTTTTCTAAATTAAAAATCCTGTTCAACCCTAAATATTTATTTGGCGAGGACATTGTTAAGATATTGTCCTTTAGTAATATCAGAATCTAACTTATTTTTGTTTTTATTAGATGAACTCTCTTGGATAGAAGGATTCAAACAGAAAAATGCAAAAAGAAGTCAGATGGAAAACTCTGGAAAATCCAAGAAGGGAGCTAGTTGATGATGAGCAAAGCCACATGTGCTGTCTTGACAGCCATAGAGAAGAATGGAGGCCTCCATACCTGAGTGGAAAGAGAAGAACATGGGCAATGATTTTGTCTCTACAAAACAACAACAACAACAGACAAACAAAATTAGCTGAGTGTGGTGGTGTGCACCTGCAACTTCACTACTTAGCAGGCTGGGGTGGGAGGATGGCTTGAACCCAGGAGTTCAAGGCTATAGTGAGCTGTGATTGTGCCACTGCACTCCAGCCTGACAGAACAAGACCATGTCTCAAAAGGAAAAAAAAAAAAGAAAAGGAAAGAAGAAAAGAATTTAAAAAGAGAAGGGAGAATGAGAAGAGTCACAACTTTGATAAAGTGGGGAGCATTGGGTTGGGTATGGAATGGTAGTAGTCTTGTCTAGTTCAGAATCAGACAGACCTGAGTTTAGTCCTTCACATCTACCCTTTTACCCTTCTTATTTTATTTCCCTTCCCTTCCCATTTTGTTATTCATTTAATAAAGTTTCTAAATTCTACTTTCTTTTTGGTATTATGGTAGGCTTTGGGAATGCAAAGTTAAATGAAATGTGTCCTATACCTTCAAGGAGGATTGGGCCTTGTGGTGGTGATAGCTGACTCAGCAGACAATCACACAATGGTGTTTTCAGTGCTTTGGTACAGGTATTCATAGGGTGCTGCAAGAGCAATAGGACTGGTAATGAAGTCTGCCTTTGTGATGAGATGGTTGGTGGTGAGACACATGGTGGGTGGCTTCTGACAAAATGGGGCATAGGATGAGTATTGTAGAAGTTAGCAGTAGACAAAGATGGAAAGAGGAAACAGCATGTATAATGTACTAGGGTGATACAGTAGTTTGAGGAACCACAAGGAGCTTCATCTGGTGGGAAAGATTGGTATAAATGGGGGAACAGAAAGAAGGATGGACAGAAACCAGATCATGATGGGCCTGGTTTGCTAAGGTAAGGATTCACTGGTATGAAAGCATTGAATGCGATGGTGGTCTGTTGATGCCTGAAAATCCTGGAGAGTGACTGATTTGGGGGAAGAAAGCTTCATGATCATTTCTGTGTTTGGCTGTGTGATCTTGGGCAGGTAACCTGTATGAGCTCCTTTTCTGTAAAATCTATAAGCTGACTATACTAAAACCCACCTTGCTGTGCTATTGCAAAAATGAGAGCATGTCTCCGAGGCACCTATTATAGTACCTGGGTTTATAGTTATTATATGCTGGATAGCTCCAAAAATAAATAACTACTGCTTGGGAAGTAAGAAAGAATGTTTGGCTTGAAATAAGAAGGTCTGTTGTTAAATCTTGGTTCTGCCACTCCTTGGCTCTGTGACCTTGAACATATCATTTGACTTCTCTGAGCTTTGTTTTTTCACTTATGAGATGCAAACCATGTTGCCCTCACAAGATTAAGTCAGGATAGTGCTTGTGGTAGATAAACTCCCCCAGTACAAATTATTTCTTTCCAGCCAGGTGCAGTGGCTCACACCTGTAATCCCAGGACTTTGGGAGGCCCAGGCAGGTGGATCATTTGAGGCCAGGAGTTTGAGACAGCATGGCCAACATGGTGACACTCCGTCTCTACTAAAAATGCAAAAAAATTAGCTGGGCGTGGTGGTGGGCGCCTGTAGTCCCAGCTACTTGGGAGGCTGAGGACTTGTAGGAGAATGGCTTGAACCTGGGAGGCGGAGGTTGCAGTGAGTGGAGATCATGCCACTGCACTTCAGCCTGGGAGACAGAGTGAGACTCCGTCTCAAAAAAAAAAAAAAAATTCTTTCCATTATTTTTTATCTTTCAGTTCTCTTTTTGTTTCCCTTTTGCAATTGCAGGCTTTTGTAAGTCAACCCTCTGCTTTATGAAGAACACACTAGGGTGGGGTATCACACTGTGAAGAATACATCACTGGAACTTGAATAGTAAACCAGCAGATCGGGAGCAACATCTGGAGGGCCCATGCAAGCCTGGGGAGAGAAAGAGAGGTGCTGGCATGCCCACAAGGGAGCGAGAGCAAGTGAGTGTATGCACAGAGCACTTCTGGAGCATGACCCTCCTGCGATGCCTGCTGAGCCATTACTTGAAGGTCTACACAGGTGTAGACCAAATTCAAGGCCTAAATCAAGGGAAAGTATTACCATATGTTCCCACACAGAGACTAAAAGAGAGGGCTGCTCCCAGCAAGACGGGGAGGAGGGTAGAGGTGGAAGTGAGGAGCCAGGGGAGGAAGGGAGGAAAACAGAAGAGCTGCCAATATAAAGAATTCATTAGAGGAAAGTCATGTTGTGACCTCCAAGATGAAGATGAGTGAAAATTCTTGTATGATTTAATATTCAGTGGAAATATTCCAAACCACATGCGCTCTGGGCAGGCTGCGGTCTTTTACCTTAATTTCAGGGAAGTCCTACTACCCATTAAGCTTCATGTTGCTTACATAGTCTGAGCTTCTTTGTAACATGCTGGCAGGGTGTAGATGAAGAGGCTTGACTGGAAGCCTGCAATTATGGAAGTCTGGACAGTGTGGAAGAACTGGGAGCCTGGCTGACCATTTATGTGAGAGAGGGACATGTCTTACCTGAGTGCCACGTAAGCCATAGAGCCTTATCTCCTGGGACACATGTGCTACAAGTCCACTTTATTTTCTATAGCTCTCTCGGGCAGTTGAATTACTCCAGTGGTTTTTAAACTTAAAAAATATTAGAAACATTTTCTTAAGAACAACTTTTATGAAGCTATGATGCCATTTTTAAAAACAAAACAAAAATGTACTCTAAAACCTAATATGGTAAAAAAAAGTTATCTGCTTGGGTTGAAAATCAGGATGGGGTCCTGAAGCCCTACCCACTTGCTTCTCTTCCCTTATGCAAATCCGTTCCTGAAAGTGTGAAAACTATCACTGTAGTACAACCTTCAATGTGTAAATGAGGAAATGGAGATGCTAGAGGCTTGTCCACATGCCCATAATTAATTAAGGGCTGAAGTTAGATTGAAATCACTATTTTTTTCATACCTGCTTTGGTGTATTTTCCTAGCTCTAGACTTGTAGCTATTTGCTTTCAGAATAGAGATAATTAAAATATTGCCGCGTCTGATCAACCCAGAGACATAGGAAAAACTGAAAGAGTTTGAAGAACCTGATGCTCTCCCATCTGTAAATGGCCTAGAGGAAGCCTCCACATCCCTTTCGCAACTGCAGGCTTTTGTAACTCAACCCTTTGCTTCATGAAGAAGAACACCCTGGGGTGGGATATCACACTGTGAAGAATACATGCTGGAACTTGAACAGTAAACCAGCAGATCAGGAGCAACATGTGGAGGGCCCATGCAAGCCTGGGCAGAGGAGAGGCGCTGGCATGCTCACAAGGGAGCGAGAGCAAGTGAGTGTATGCACAGAGCACTCCTGGAGCATAACCCTCCCCCACCAACACTGCGCAAGGCGGATGCAAGCAAAATACACGTCTGTTGAATGGGAATGAAACACTGTGGTTTTAGGAAAGAGTCTCTGGGACCCCACAGTCTCTCCAGTCTTAGACTTTCCCTGTCTCAAAGAGACTGGGACTCTGAGGAGTTTTTCTCCCAGGAATATTCTATCCTCCTGCAAAGGGGCTCTGGGCTTTAGACTTAGAAAAACCTCAAATTGCTAGTTTATTATTTAGACAAGCAAATTCATGATGACTTGCATCATCTTGCAAGTATGGCAAAGTGGACCAGGGCAAAACCTTCCTAGGATTTTTGTTGAGCTGTAAGTTTCCTTTCCAGTCAAAGAAGAATGATTGGTTTAGCACATTAATATCTATCAAGAGTAAAAAAATGAGTGTTTGAAGATTCTTGCTGAGTTTCTCATTTTCCTGAGGCATTCACAGTCAGGTCCTTTATTTCCTTTAAGCCTACTGGTTCCCCTGAATGTGTTATGTCCTGAATTATCAAGAGGTTCTGATGCCTGCTGAAATCATCATGGGTGTAATAGAGACAGTGGTACTCACCAAACATTCCATCTGCTGTTTCGCATTTGCCAAATCCCTTGCACTTAGGTGGGGCCATGAGCCTAGTTCTGACCAATGAAACATAAGCTGAACTGGTGAAAAGCCTATGTGCAAATCTCCAGGCTCTCCTTCACTGACACCAGCACTTTCCAGATGGCAAAGTCCCCACCAGCCTGGAACCCTGAGTAACTTTGATAAGCAGAGTATCCTTCTCCCATGGACCTATGCTGGATATTCATCATAAATGAGACACAAGCCTTTGTTATTTTAAATCACTAAGATTTCAAGGCTAATTTGTTATGCAGCATAACCTAGTTGTGACTAATTAGTCATGACTAATACAGGGATAATTGGGCTTGAAGCAAGGAAGACTGAAGACCTGCTCTGGTGAGAGCAGCGTTCTCTTTAGGATCTGGCAGCCCCGGGGTTTGAGGCAGTTGTGTGGTGTATGGAGCTGCCTTGTACTGGCTTGTTACCCTGGATTGTGCACATTTTTTCCCAACTCTACGTTTAATGACATCACCTTGATAACTTGTCATTGGCCATGGTAGAAGTATTTACACCATAGAAATTGTCTAATGTTACAAATCATGGCATTTTTGTTTTTCCTGGCAAGGTAGTTGTTAAATACTCATATCAAAACATCACATCATACTCCTTAAATATATACAATTATTACTTGTCAATTAAAAATAAAATTTAAAAATTATTTATAAAAACCAAGCAGCCAGGCCTCAGCAAAATTATGACACAGGAAGAAAAAGTTTAATAGCACGTCACTGATTTTAAGTCTCTACAGAGAGAGTCAAGGTGGCAGCTGGAAATGAAACAGTAGGACCCTTAGTAAATGAGAACTCCATAAGTTTCTTAATTATTTCCCAATTTCTGCAGAGAAAAAATTTGGTAGAGAGATAACTTACTAGGTATGTTTTTCTCCAAATCATGAAATAGGCAGTCAAAATAATGTCTTTGCCAGAACACCCTAAATATCAGAATTTTTAGCTCATTTTTAAAATTTATATTTTAAAAATTATTATTGATACATAATAACTGTATATATTTATGGAGTATATGTAATGTTTTCATATAGGCATATAATGTATAATGATCAAAGCAAGGTAATTGGTGTATCCATCATCACAAGCATTTATTTCTTTGTGTTAGGAATAGTTCAATTCCACTCTTTTAGTTATTTTTAAAAACATACAACATATTATTGTTAACTATAATCACCCTATTTGTGCTACAGAACACTAGATCTTATTCATTCTATTTAACTATATTTTTGTATTTCTATTTAATGGCCCTTTTAGCTGGAGTGAGATGATAGCAATTACCATTCCCACAGTATCCCCATTCCCCACTACCCTTCCCATCCTCTGGTAACCATTGTTCTACTCTCTAAGGGTTTATTTATTGTTTTTGTTAGCTCCCACATATGAGTGAGAATGTGTAATATCTGTCTTTCTGTGCCTTGTTTACTTAACATAATGTCCTCTAGTTCCATTCATGTTGTTGCAAATGACAGGATTTCATTCTTTTTTATGGCTGAATAATATTCCATTAGGTATATGTACCCCATTTTCTTTATCCACTCATCCATTGATGGACCTTTAGGTTGATTCCATATATTGTCTATTGAAATAGTGCTCAATAAACATGAGAGTGCAGATGTCTGTTTGATGTACCGATTTTCTTTCTTTTGGATTATATCCAGCAGTGGGATTGCTGGATCCTATAGTAGTTCTATTTTTAGATTTTTGAGGAACCTCCATACTGTTCTGCATAGTGTCTGTACTAATTTACAATCTCACCAATAGTGTACAAGGGTTCTCCTTTCTCTAATTCCTTGCCAGTATTTATTATTGCCTGTCTTTTGGATAAAAGCCATTTTATTCCCAGATACTCAGAATGCTGAGGCAGGAGGATTATCGAGGCTAGAAGTTGAATTCAGCCTTGGGAATACAGTGAGACACTACTGCTATTTTTTTTTTTTTAATTAGCTGGGCATGGTAGCATGCTCCTGTAGTCCTAGCTATTCAGGAGGCTGACGTGGGAGGATCGTTTGAGCTCAGTAGTTTCTGGCTGTAGTGAGCTGCTATCACACCACTGCACTCCAGCCTGGGCAACATAGCAAGACTTTAGTTCAAAAAAAGCCATTTTAGCTGGAGTGAGATGACAGCTCATCGTAGTTTTGATTTGCATTTTTCTGATGACTAGTGATGAGCATTTTTCCATGCACCTGTTGGCTATTTGCATGTCTTCTTTTGAGAAATATCTATGCAGATCTTTTACCCATTTTAAATCAGATTATTTTTCTGTTTAAATTGTTTGAGCTCCTTATTATTAATCGTTTGCCAGTTGAATTGTTAGCAAATATTTTCTCTTATTCTGTGGGTTGTCTCTTCACTTTGTTGTTTTCTTTGTTGTGCAGAAGCTTTTAGCTTGATATGATCCCATTTATTCATTTTTGCTTTGGTTGCCTGTGCTTTTGAAGTCTTACTAAAGAAATCATTGCCCAAACTAATGTCCTGGAGTAATTCCCCAGTGTTTTCTAATAGTAGTTTCATAGTTTCAGGTCTTAAATTTAAGTCTTTAATCCATTTTGAGTTTATTTTTATATATGTTTGAGTTTATGTTTATTTTATATGTTTTATATATGTTTGAGTCTATTTTTATATATTTTTATTTTATATATTTTATATATGGTAAGAGAAAGGAATCTAGTTTCATTCTTCTGCATATGGTTGTCCAGTTTTCCCAGCACCATTTATTGAAGAGAATGACCTTTCCCAAAAGTATGTTTTTGGGGCCTTCATTGAAGATAAATTCACTGTAAAATTTATTTTCTGTTCCATTGGTCTGTGTCTGTTTTTATACCAGTATCATGCTGTTTTGGTGGTTATAGCTTTGTAGTATAATTTAGATGTAGGTAATGTGATGCCTCCAGTTTTGTTCTGGGTATTCTAGGTCTGTTGTTGTTCCACATACATTTTAGAATTATTTATTTCAATTTTTGTGAAAAAATGTCATAGGTATTTTGATAGGGATTGCATTGAATCTTTAGATTGCTTTAGGTAGTATGGGCATTTTAACAATATTGATTCTCCCAATCCATGAACATGGAAAGTCATTCCACTGTTTTGTGTCCTCTTCAATTTCCTTCATCAATGTTTACAGTTTTCATTGTAGAGGTCTTTGACTTCTTAGGTTAAGTTTATTCCTAGATAGTTTATTTCATTTGTAGCTATTGTAAATGGCATTACTTTCTTGATTTCTTTTTTAGATTGTTCAATATTGGCATATAGAAATGCTACTGATTTTTGGCCAGGTGCAGTGGCTCATGCCTGTAATCCTAGAACTTTGGGAGGCTGAGGCAGTTGGATCACGAGGTCAGAAGATCGAGACTATCCTGGCTAACACGGTGAAACCCCATCTCTACTAAAAATACAAAAAATTAGCCAGGTGTGGTGGCGGCTGCCTGTAGTCCCAGCTACTCAGGAGGCTGAGGCAGGAGAATGGCATGAACCCGGGAGGCAGACCTTGCAGTGAGCCGAGATCGCGCTGCTGCACTCCAGCCTGGGCGAAAGAGCGAGACTCAGTCTCAAAAAAAAAAAAAAAGAAAAGAAATGCTACTGATTTTTGTATGTGTATTTTGCATCTTGTAATTTTAGTGAATTTATCAGTTTTAAAAGTTTTCAGGTGGAGTTGTTAGGTTTTTCTAGGATATGATAGGATCATATCATCTGCAAACAAAGATAATTTTACTTTTTCCTTTCCAAATTGGATGCTTTTTAAATTTCTTTCACTTGTCTAATTGCTCTGGCTGGTACTTCTAGTACTATGTTAAACAAAAGTGGTAAAAGTGAGCATTCTTATTTTATTTCAGACCTTAGGAGAAGGCTTTCAGTTTTTTTCCCATTCAATATGATACCAACTTTGGGTTTATTGTATTTGGCTTTGATCATGTTTCTGAGTTTGTTTTTTTCTAGCTGTTATCTTTGCCAAAAGCATCTTTTACCTTAGTCAATGACATCTAGCAGACTTCTGTGCCCTTTAGATTTTCAAGTGAATTAGCTGATAAGGAAGTTGATCAGCTGTGACTTGCTGGCATGTAAATGTAGAAAGCACTTAATTCAGCATTCTTCTCTTTTCCAGCATTCTTTTATATTAAAAAAATTCCATGTATCTTTCCACATTGTCACCACTATCCTCTTTCATGAGGACAAAACTAATAGATTCCAATTTGATTTGTTGGGAGTTTGATATACAATTAAAAGCCTAACAAATCATTACTCATTAAATGATATTTAATGCCTTTGCTTGAGGGTTCCAAATATGAAAGATTTAATTCCTTAATATAATACTTACATTAATATTTTCACATACAAAAATAAGTACTCTGTATAAGAAACTCCATGCTTTGACTGCATACTCATGAAAATCCTCTGCCCTCATCCTCTATTTCTGTTAGCGACACTCTTAGAGTAATCATGGCTCTAGACTTTAAAGAGGAGTAATGACTCAGAGATTGGCCAATGTTATCTGTACCCTCATCTCCCAAAGTAGGGGGAAAGGTCTCGCTTACCTACATAGTATCACAAAGTAGTAAACATTCTTCTTTCTAGCTGCATCTTTACTTATTCTTTCTGGCATTTTCCCTGTTGTTTCAACTGTGAAATATGGTGGGTGTGTAGTAAGGGAGGCTTACATATGCACTTAAAGATGTGTTATGAAAACCTGATTTATTTCATTTCATGTGGAGTTATGAAATAATTTTGATTGACATATTACATTGTTTGGCTTGAATATTAAATATCATTGGTGAATAGCTTATGTTTCATTACACTGGCAACTGCTATCTGCTAAAAATCAGATACTAGGATATATCTTTCCAGCATATGAAATTCTGAGAAACAGCCTTGACCTGACCTTCTTGACCTCAGTTTCTTCATTAGTAAAATGAGGGGTTTGACCTAATGATTTATGGGGTTTCTCTCAAGTCAAACTGTTTTTGATTGTACAGGTATGCCATTATACAGACATACAGGGCTAAAAGTATATTCATTTACTAATTTATACACTACACATTGTCTACTATATATCAAGTACTGTGATAAGTATGGTTAATATGAGCTTCCTGACTTCAAAGAATTTACTGTCTTATGAGGAAGACAAACAAGTAAAAATCCAATTACAACACGGCAGAATAAATATTACATACAGTAGGAGTGAAGAGTGGGTACAAATGGAGGACATAGGAGGGGCACCTAACTCATTTATGGGAAAGAAAATAATAGACGTCAAGGAAGAAGAAGATGTTAAGCACATGTAGGGCTAGAACTAGGGTGTGCCAAGAGAGACACTTTTGGTACAAATTTTTTTTTTTTTTTTTGAGACGGAGTCTCGCTCTGTCACCCAGGCTAGTGCAGTGGCGCGATCTCGGCTCACTGCAAGCTCTGCCTCCTGGGTTCTCGCCATTCTCCTGCCTCAGCCTCCCGAGTAGCTGGGACTACAGGCGCCCACCACGCCCGGCTAATTTTTTTTTTTTTTTGTATTTTTAGTAGAGACGGGGTTTCGCCATGTTAGCCAGGATGGTCTCGATCTGCTGACCTAGTGATCTGCCCATCTCGGCCTCCCAAAGTGCTGGGATTACATTTAAGCAGGCACTCACCTTATTCCCAGGCCTTGAGTGTGTTGTAATCTGACAGTGTGCTTGAGTTTAGCCACAAGCAAGAGGATAGAAACTGTTCTGTAACTATATGTGCAAAGGCTTAGGGGACAAAAGACAGAACTTCAGGAAATTGCACATAATTTCATAATGTCTGGATTTGGAAGTAGAGTTAAGGTTGTAGATGTGAATGATGGAAATAAACAGGACCTCAGGTCAGAAGTGTCTTATAAAATATGTTAAGGTGTTTGAACTTTCTTCTTACGTTAATGGGTATCCATCAGGGAATTTTCTTTATAAAGGAGGTAGTATGACCAGATCTGCTTTTTAAAAGAAGATTCCTCCGGTAGCAGTATGGAGACAGGGATAAGGAATTAGATAGGAAAAGAGGCTGGAGGCAGAAAGACCAGTTGAGTAGTGGTGGGGATAGAGAAGCAAACCAAACGGCCTCTAGAACTGTTTAAGAGTTGGAGCTGCCTGGGATGAAGACCAATTGAACAAGTTGGGTGTTAAGAGAGAGAGGAATAGGATGCTCAGGGTTCCTGGATTGAGAAAATGAGAGGATAGTGGTGCTGATCACTGAAACATGGAACACAGCAGAATAAAAAGGGTTGGGAAGGATGGTGATGAGCTCAGGCTTTGACTTGAAGAGTCTGAATATCTGAGGTGAGATGGCTGCTAAGGAGGCTGGTGTATGGGTTGGTGCTCAGCACAGAGAGATGGATATAGATATGAACATGGATTTGTCAATCATCTGCCTGTAAGTGATAAGAAAGCAATGGCTATGGATGAAATTTCCCAGGGAGGGAAGGTGTAGAGTGAGAAAGAACGCTTAGTGGCTATTGAAAGCTCCTTGCCACTCTTCAGTAAAACCATCATAATACAAAAACACAGCTTTGTAGCCACCATTGGGATATGCTGGAGGACAGGATAAGGAGGGAAGTAGTACTAGACGTGCCTAGGGTTTCTTCTGTGTAAGCAGTTATGTTATTGTGTCTTTGCTGCAATGAATTTACAAGAGTCACTAAAGAATTTGTGTTAGTTTGTGGTTACAGAGACTGTTTGCTGCAGCTGGTGACCCTGTACTCTCACTGCAAGGAAGGAACACAGTGGCCCTGTGTGCCTTGTGGCTTTGGGGAGCACATCACTGCTAATTCCTGAGGAGAGGGGGAAATTGGGCACATTTAAATTTCTCTTTCTAAGTTACAAAGGCAAAAATTAGTGACTCTTTTGGATGCCCCTGTCTAAATGTTCACACTTGAGAGAAAATTGCCTTCTCCAGGAAGTAATAAATCTCTCTCACCAATGGAAGTCACTCACATCCTGAAACAACAACCCTCAGCTGAAAAGGAGAAAAAATTAAAACATTTCTTTCCCCTGTGAAACTCTCTTTCTCCAAACATGTGTTCCTATTAGACTATAGAGAGCACCATTATGCAGACATCGCAAACTTCTTGATGACTTGTCCAGAAACATAATTGGCCGTGGCCGAAGGACCACAGCAAACGTGCCCAGGGTGTGAAAATGTTAGGCCAAGATAATTGCTGGAGGGGTTCTGCCTGTAAGGCAGGCTGAACAAGCAAACCAGGCCAAGCCTACACTGACATGGCCCATGCTTAATGTGAGGAAGCAAGAGCCAGAGTAGGTGGTGGGGGCAAGGTGGATGCAAGGTGAGATTTGGATATGCATCCTTTAAATCTTTTACATCTTCATTTTGCAGGCTGTGTGTGTGTGTGTGTGTGTGTGTGTGTGTGTGTGTGTGTGTGTGAGAGAGAGAGAGAGAGAGAGCTGTGTTGCTTTTTGTCCTTTACCTGTGTTTTGCCCTTTTGTCGGACTTTCTAACTTTTCCTCTGCCTCTGGTCTTGTTTCTTTCATGTCAGTCTTTACCAGAATGGAATGCCCGTGAAGAAACTACTTAAGGCTTTTTAAGGGCTCCCCTGCTCCTACAGCTGTCAGTCAGTATACCCTGAATGCAGAAGAGTGCAAATACCTACCTCCTAGGAAAGCTGGGGCAATTCTCCTCAAGAGAGGAAGCTTCTGGAAATCTCACTTTTAATGTAAAAATTCAAGAAATTCTTTGACTCATTCCATAATATGTCTGTATTTGTTTTAATAAAAATTGTTATTTTAAGCTACCTATCATTGGGGAAAAAGTATGTTCCAAGAGGATACACTTTATCCATAAGTGTGTGTGCCCCAGCTTGAGAAACAAGGGTCCATGGGAACTCCATCAACTGGCCTCCTACCTCAAATTTCACCAATTAAACCAAAGCGACTTCATGCATGGAGGTGTTACAAGGAATTTATTTTCTCATTAGTTGTACCTAATAATTTGTGTCTAGTTTATAGATGAAATTATTCTACTTGATATTGAAGTGGTGTTCAATAGAAACACAGAGATTAGGAGAGAACCAGGTGGTCCTAGGCCTGATGCCTGCTTTGCCATTTACTGGATACGTAACCTTATGGAGCCTCAGTTTCCTCATCTGTAAAGTGGGGGTTATAATGGCACTTGCACCAAGAGAGTGTTAAGAGGATTCAATGAAATGTTTGTAATGTGTATATCATGTGCCTGACATATAGTAAGTGCTCAGTATATACCAACACTAGGAATTATTTGCTATGGAAATAATTTTAGAGGTGATTCAGATACAGTTATAGGCACTAAATGGTCACAGATAGATGTAATTGGGCTGATTATATTAGACAATTTGCAGCAGCTGAAACAATTTTAAAAGGCTGTTTGCATTGGGCCAATGGGTACTTCAATATTATTGTCACCTTATGTATGAATTAAAAAAGGATTTAGAAATTTATTATAAATACACATTTAAGAATATTCTAGAATCATATCACTTTTGGTTGATTGAGATAGTTATGATTATTCTGGTGATTATACTAGCTATTTTGACATCCTGTGTAATATAGTTTATTGAGTTTATTGTACTAATATGTCTTTCCCCAGAGCAGAATTATCTCAAAAATTTAAGCAATGAATATAAATAAATAAGAACATCTGGTGGAGGAGTTGAAGCAGATGTGCAGATTGAGGTACATCAAAGAAAAGCCCGTTATTATCCTGGTAACTGGCTAGTGCTGAACGATACAAACAACTTAAAGAAATGGAATTAGTTGTTTAGAGATGTCAATTCATCTAAGAAGAGATCCTAAAAGCAGTAAATATTATCATAACAATAAATGATTACAAAGTATACAGTTAATGTTTATATTGGTAAAGTCCTTCAGTAGAAGATGGATTTAAGACACAAAATATCAAGTGTTTTTGGTTCTGTTTGCTAGAGAATGGTTTCCTAAAATATGATAAGAGCATCTCTCTGAGATTTTCTCACATAGCATTGCACATACTCGATAGATTATTGTTCCTGAACTCATAGGTTACATGTGGTGACTGACATGTTTTGTGCTATTACATGGGATTGCAGTGTTAGAAGGATCATGTGACATGCCACTTTTTAATGCAGAGAGCCTTATTCCAAGAATGATTCTGTTTGATGTTATATAAGAGGTTGGTCTTCAAGATTGAGTTTAGAGAATGGGACAGAATACTAAAAAGATTTATGGATAATAAATCTAAATATATGAATTTTCTTTGACATATTGCAAGGTAGGAAAGGATAGTGTGCCGGCTGCTGTAAGTAATTTCTCTATTATATTTTTGTTGACTTTTATAGATTCTTTCTTCTGAAATACTTATAGGCAAGTTAAGCAACAAATATGTAGGTATGATCAGTCTTTTCCCAGATGATTTTACAGGTGTCAAAGGCCAAAACCCTGTACTCTGGGTAGGTTGAGAATTACCTTCGAATGCCCTGAACCTTCACCACAGAGGAAAAAAAGTGTGAATCCTACAAGTTGAGTGTCATGGGCCAGCAAAAAGAGTCTAAAACCCCTTCTTCAAACGTCACAAACTAACTGGGAAGGCTGAGCACAGTTCTCAAAAGTGTTAAGTAATATAGTTACAACCCAAGTAAATTTGGAGTGCCTAGAGCCACAGTGCAGTAGCTAAAAACCCCACAAATATGACTGTAAAAAGTATTGAAATGTAATAAAAAGCCTTCCCCGAAGGTCTCTTGAACAGGTAGCAAAGGAGAAATTTCCTAACATTCAGAAAACTTCCAAAAAACTCCTTTACTTATCTCAACCAAACTCTAGACAAACTGGATTTCCTAATTAATTCATCATCATTCCCTCTTTTGCAACTCCTTTCCCCCACTTTTTGGATTTTTTTCTCTTATTGTCAGAATACAGTAATGCTTTTTCTTATGTAACTTAGTCTATAGCATTCTGTCCCCTTTTTGAGTTCTGCATCTTGTCTTGTTACTCTGCTCAGCACATTAGGACTCAACAGGCAAGCAGTGTAACAAAGAATCCTCCTTAGAAGGGAAGGGAAGGAAAATATTGCAAATACTTAGGGATTTTTGTGCTTATCAACAAGATTTAAATGCTATTTATTAAAGCAATAGAAGAAGTGCCACAAAGTCTCATGCAATAACTGCTAAATGGGTGGCCTAGGCAGGAAGTAAGAGAAGTAGTTCTTCACTTTTAGCCATGGTGACCAAGAGAGAATTGATAGGGAAGGTAAAGAGAAAGTGGGTAGAACTTAAATTGGAGAAGAGAAAAGGCTAAAGGATTTTGTAGACAATTAAATATTTTAAGAATGTATCCCAAGCTTTATAAATATAAGCTCCTTGAAGGCAGAAGAGTTTGAAAAATTCTTGGCCTATGTAGTAGTAGAAAATAAATGTTTGTGGACTGAATATAATCTGTACTATATTTGTGGAATAATATAATTTGTAGAATGTATAATCTGTGGAAGGTATAATCAGTTTTTAAAATTATTATAAAATGTTTTACTATTACAAACTCTCGAGCAACTATCCTTTGCCACTTTAAAATATTTGATGTATCTGAAGACTTTTTTTTCTCTCCAAGGTTCCAGATGTGTTTTCTTTGCTACCATAAATCATTAAGTGAGAGCTGATATGTTACAAAGGTAAACATTTTCCTTGTCTGTATTTGGATCTATGTCAATGACTTAAAAATTTTAAATCCTGCGATAGTAGTGACTTTACAGTAAAAAGCTCTTTTAAGACTTTTCTGAGCTCACTTGAGCCAGCATTCAATTTGCATTTCTTTCTTTTCTTTTCTTTTTTAAAACATAATCTGAATATAATCTTAAGGAATATCTTAATCCCTCTAAGACTCTTTAGAACGGTGTTTTCTAGGCTTTGTGGACTATTGGCCAGTGTAAGAATTGCATTTTCCCTTATGTATATAATCTATGTGCATATGCACACACACACACACACACACACACACACACACACACACACACGAGGTGACAGTTTTTGAAAATAAGGCTTACCTTTATACCTGTGATGCTCTGCTAATTTCTACTCTATTCTAGTTTGTGGAAAACAATGCTGATCCAGGAACCACTGAATATATTTCACAGCCTCAAATGAATCGGAGCTGGCAGTTTAAGAAATAAACTGCTCTGGAGCAGACATCAAAACAAAGCAAAATAAAAACAAACAAAAATGCACATAGAAACCAGTTATTATAAATATGTGAATTTGCCTGGATATGACAATAGTTAGCCTGTGGATAAATTGATAAAGTATATAGTCTTTGTAAGGCTGTTGAAAAAGTCTTAAAAAGGAACAACAAAAATTACAACAGCAAAACAAAACAAAATTTATTGTGTAGGCTTCATAAAGCTAGTCTGGGCCTAATTTGACCCATGGTCAGTTGGTTTGTCACTTCTGTTCTAAAAGGCAGAATGCAATTGAAGATGTTTTAAATGAATTGCAATGGTCTTAAATGTGAGAGTTTAATTTTACTCTAACTCACTGAGTTACCTTATCTATCTCCAAATTCTTCTCTTTTTAGGCATATTAGCAGAAATTTTTCTGAATGACAGGAGACATTTGACCTTTCAATAAAATAGAAATGATGATATTAAGTTTCAGGTGAATTGCATGGATCAATTTATCCAATCAAAAGTCACCCTCTGACAATTTTTCTATTGAATGGTATGTGCATGTGTAATTGTTATTGTCATAATTATCTTATTATTATTTTATGTGTAGCCCATGTTTGAAATTATTTGAAATTTCAATATTTGACTCTTTTAAATATTAAAACATATTTTCTTTCTTTTAACGTTCAATTAGTGTTACACTTGACCTTAAATTCTGCTTTCTTATTCCCCATATACACTTAGAGACTGATTTTTGTTTTGCACAGAAATAAATTTTAACTTAAAATAATTTCCACACCTACTTTGTTTAAAGAAGAGCTACGAAACATTAAATTTAATTTATGAAGCCTTCTATTTGTGTTCCAGTCCTCTGCACATACACACTGTGTTAATGCTATGTCTCTATATGCCAATGACATTAGAGTTTCTGGCAAAACTCAATATGTAATCAATTATCACCTGTCATGAATGACTTTTAAGATCCAGCCAGATATTTTGGAAATACCGCTTAGTTCCACTGAGAAGGAAAGTCTCCCTCTGAAAGTGGTATGGCCCTCATCTTTAAATCTCTTATTCAAAGGCATTTGGACAACTTTCAGTTTAAGTCAATGTGCAATAAAGTCCAGCAACTTACATCTTAAAAAAATAGAGTTGTAGCTATTTCAAAATGAGTTCAAGAGTATGTTGTTGCTTAGAAATGATAACAAATCTTAAATCATTTTTTCCCTCTATAGGGGAGCACAAGAATCTTATATGCACCAGTTACAGGCCAATGCCTTTTTTTTTTTCCTTTCTCTTTAATGCTTGTGTTGGTTTCAAACTCACCAGTTAAGAAGAACTGGAATCTGCCTCCTAGGATTCCAATAGTGTGCTTTCTTTTCCTTTTCTTTTTCTTCATTGATTCTCTCAGAGAAAACAGAAATCAATTATTATCCTGCCAGCTGGAGAAAATCACTGATATCCAAACATAATGGCTTTTCTAGGCATAGCATATATACACATTTGGAGGTCATGGTCTTATCTACAGTAGATGTTCAACAAATGCTATCAAGAAACGAACTCCCTGAACAATCTGGATCTTAAGTAGGTAATGTAAGGCCACTTTCCCTAGTTTTAAAAAGCTGCAGTAAGTTAGTTTCCTGGTGATCACATTGCTCGGTGGGCTCTTTGAAAAGTATTGCATCTGCGCATGTTGATTCCCTATGTTTGAACTTGGATATCCTCATTTCTGAAAGGTTGGATTAGGTGGTCAGATGATGTCTGCCAGTTTCAACATCTGAAATGCCTCTAGTTAGACCCTCTAGCCTGCCTTGAAGGGAACAGGCTTTCTTAAACCTCCAGGGGGCAGCCCCATACCAGTTGTTAGGAGAAATAGGATCAGCTCATTGGGAGGAAGAGGATAGACCTTCTGTCCCTTGCTCAGGCAAACTATGCGTGGACCACATAGAGCTGCTGTCATGGAAATTTGCATGAAATACACAGCACCTTTGATGGACTCAGCCTGGGGTGGAGTGAGTGTGGGGCATAGAGGAGCTGCTTTTATTGGTGACTAAACTGTCAAGGTTGATAGCTGTAAATCTCAGTTCCACCACTTGTAGATATTTTCAGTGAGACCTAGAGAAGAACAGGTGTTTGTGGCCACCAAGTGACCACAGGTGAGAGATTAGAGTAGTAGATTCACAGTAATCTGTTTCCCTGGGTTTGAGGGAATAAAAACTATGTATATTCATTGTGTTTGTATATGTATGAGTATATGCTATTAAAAATGCACACTTGGGACAATTAACAACATCATTCAAATACCTGCATTGGGAATATTTGAATACCTGCGGTTCTCTTAACTGTTTATGCATCAGCTATCCACTTAAGTTGATAGTTGTTCAATAGCTGATTCTAGAAGCTCTAAGAGCCAAGGTCTTGTGAGGATCCTTGGTTTGATCCATTTTTTGCTGTATAGATTTGCCTTCCTTTCTTCAAGGAGATAAGAATGAGGATGGATTCTTTATTGATAGATCAGCAGTTTAATGCAGATTGAATTCCAAACATATTTGTTAAGCATATTCTGAGGGTGGTGGAGGAATGGGGGATGCTTACAAAACACTAATATGTGTCTTTTGCTCTCGGTGAGTTTATATTTTAGCAGGATATGCAAGAACATAAAATAAGCATCTAAGTAACTGCTGGGCATGGTGGCTTATGCCAATAATCTCAGTACTTTGGAAGGTTGAGGTGAGCAGATCCCTTGAGTCCAGGAATTTGAGACCAGCCTTGGCAACATGGCAAAACCCAGTCTCCACAAAAAATACAAAAATTAGCCAGATGTGGTGGTGTGTGCCTGTAGTCCCAGCTACTTGGGAGGCTGAGGCGGGATGATCACCTGAACCCAAGAGGGAGGTGGAGGTTGCAGTGACTGAAGATTGCTCCATTGCACTCCATCCTGGGTGACAGAGCAGGACCCTGTCTCAAATAAGTAAACATAATAAATAAATACATAACTGTATTGTTTTCCTTTTTTTGGAGGAGGAAGTTGGATGCTAGGGAAGTTTGCAGAATCTAGCTACATTCAGAGAGGTCTGTTCTCGAGTACAATGTTGGAGGAGAATAGAAGCTTTTCCTCTCCTCCTGGTGTTTGGAATCCCTAATTCCCAACTGTAGAAGGAAAATATCAAGCAGGATATAAGGAAGACAAATAGTAACTACTCCAAAATTAGCACTAAAAGGAAGTAACACTGTGCTTTGCTGAAAATTTAAGGTGAGGCAAAGGTTAAAATATCAGTATTCCTCTTGCACCTATTTCCCTGAGAGATGCTTCCTAGAGGAAAGCTTTCATTTGTAAGTTCCAAGCACTGTAAGGGCTGCTTGAGCATTAGTTGAATGTTTCACATGAACACACACATGCACACACACACACATGCACACACACACACACATGCACATACAAGTTGCTGAAGTGGTTCTACTCAAGTAATTCAGCAGAAAGGTAGCAACATTTGAATGTTATCTTTAAAAAATAAAAAAAACCAACTAGGACATCTATGCCTCACATTTGGAAAGGGATAAAGGCTTACCTTTAGCTCAGTACTATTAATTATCATTTTTTCCTCGGCACTATTCTAAGTGCCCATAAGCCTATTTTGAGTATAATTTCCTGGCAGGCAATCATAATGTTTATGGGAACATCAAAGAATGGCAATAAATAAAATTGATAAGCCACATTAAAAATAATCCCCACTGGATTAAGATGGAGGATAGGAGGCAGTACTACCTTGCAGTTCATGCTCAGAAGGACAGAGCAACCAACGTGTGGAGACGCACATCATGAACTTTTGCTCCAAGACCTACCACAGGAACATACCAGTGAGGACTTGGAGAACTTTTCTGTCTTACAAGAGGGTTGTAAAAACGCACCAATCAGTGCTCTGTAATAATGCACCAATCAGTGCTCTGTAGCTAGCAAGAGGATTGTAAAGTGCACAAATCAGTGCTCTTTAAAATGCACCAATCAGTGCTCTGTAAAACGCACCAATCAGTGCTCTGTAAAATGCAACAATCAGCGCTCTGTAAAACACACCAATCAGCAGGATCCCAAAAGTAGCCAATCACAGAGAGGATTGATAAAAGGGCATTCTGATAGGACAGAAATGGAACACGGGAGGGGACAAATAGGGAATAAAGCTGGCCACCCAAGCCAGCAGTGGAAATCCGTTCAGGTCCCCTTCCAAGCTGTGGAAGCTTTGTTCTTTTGCTCTTCACAATAAATCTTGATGCTGCTCACTCTTTGGGTCCATGCCGCCTTTAAGAGCTGTAACACTCACCATGAAGGTCCACGGCTTCATTCTTGAAGTCAGAGAGACCACAACTCACTGGAAGGAACCAACTCTGGACACATCTTAGGGGCTTGTCTAGGATATCACCATGCGGTGAGTCCCATTGGACCCCTTTCACTTGCTATTCTGTCTTTTTTTACTTAGAATTCAGGGGCTAACCACCGGGCACCTGTCGGCCAGTTAAAAGTGACTAGCATGGCTGCTGGACTAAAGACATGGGTGTCAGGCTTTCTGGGAAAGGGCTCTGTAACAACCCCCAACTTTTCAGAGTTGGGAGTGTTGGCTTGCCTGGAACCAGCTTCCACTTTTTCTGTACTTCCAGGCTGAGCTGAGGGTAGACCAAGAGGAAAGCCATTCAGCTCTGGGGTCCTGATAAAAAGTTGGTTGGCCCTACAGCCATGAGCAGAACTCTCAAAGTTACGTGTCTCAAACAAGATTTGTCCATCTATCCTATTTTTCCTGACCCTTGCCTCCTGGGTCCTAAAGCCTGTCAGACAAACTTCCTCCTGCTTCTCTTTTCTGAGGCTAGTCTTGCTTCTAAAAAACACTCCCTGTCTCTGGTGCTTTTCTAGTTTCTCCTATAAGAATGATTTCTAGTATAAATTTCCAGACCCTGTTCCCTTCTTTAGGCACTCAGCCTCGCCAATCAGAAAGACATAATTTTTGCCCAAAGCCTTGTCAGTAGGGGGACTATCTGGAATTTTAGGATTCCTCCTCAGACTAGCAGGCCTAACAAAGTCTATTCCCAATGCTAGGGTATGGGGAGCCTCAGAAATTATAGACTCCAAAATTGGGGTAGACATCCTTCCTATTCATATGGTGAGAAGTGAGGACAAAAGGTGTCACTCTTTCAACCCTGATCCCTTCCCTCCCTCAGGTATGGCTCTCCACTCCATTTCAAGGCATATCATCTTTATAGGACAAGGGTAAGGTCCCAATACTAACAGGAGAGAACGTTTAGGACTCTAACAGGTTTTCGAGAATGCATCTGTAAGGGCCACTAAATCCGATTTTTCTTGGTCCTCTTTGTGGTCTAAGAGGAAAGGCAAAGGTGCAGGTTTTTGAGAAAGCATTGGTAAGGGCCACTAAATCTGACCTTCCTCAGTCCTCTTTGTGGTCTAGGAGGAAAACTAGTGTTTCTGCTGCTGCTTCGGTGAGTGCAACTATTCTGAACAGCAGGGTCCAGGGACCATTGCAGGTTCTTGGGCAGGGAAAAAACAACAACAAAAAAAACATGGGTGTTTTTTTCTTTCAGATGGGAAACACTCAGGCATCAACAGGCTAACCCTTGAAATGCATCCTAAGCCATTGGGACCAATGACCCACAAATCCTGAAAAAGAAGCAGCTTATTTTTTCTGCCCTTTGGCCTGGCCCCAATATTCTCTCTCTGATGGGGAAAAATGGTCACCTGAGGGAAGTATAAATTATAACACTATCCTGCAGCTTGACCTTTTCTGTAAGTGGGAAGGCAAATGGAGTGAAATACCTTATGTCCAAGCTTTCTTTTCATTGAAGGATAATCCACAACTATGCAAAGCTTACAATTTACATCCCACAGGAGGACATCTCAGCTTACCTCCACATCCTAGCCTCCTTACAATTCCTCTTCCTATTAGTGATAAGCCTCCTCTAATCTCCCCCACCAAGAAGGAAACAAGGAAAGAAATCTCCAAGGGACCACAAAACCCCCCGGGCTATCAGTTATATCCCCTTCAAGCTGTTTGGGGGGGTGGAATTTGGCCCAACCCGCGTACATGTCCCCTTCTCCCTCTCCGATTTAAAGCAGATCAAGGTAGACCTGGGGAAGTTTTCAGATGATCCTGCTAGTATATAGATGTCCTACAGGGTCTAGGGCAAACTTTCAACCTCACTTGGGGAGATGTCATGCTATTGTTAAATCAAACCCTGGCCTTTAACAAAAAGAATGCAGCTTTAGCTGCAGCCTGAGAGTTTGGAGATACCTGGTATCTTAGTCTAGTAAATTATAGAAGGACAGCTGAATAAAGGGACAAATTCCCTACTGGTCAGCAAGCCGTGCCCAGTATGGATCCCCACTGAGACCTCAACTCAGATCATGGGGACTGGAGTTGTAAACATCTGCTGACCTGTGTTCTAGAAGGACTAAGGAGAATTAGGAAAAAGCCCATGAATTATTCAATGATGTCCACCGTAACTCAGGGAAAGGAAGAAAATCCCTCCACCTTCCTTGAGCAGCTATGGGAGGCGTTAAGTAAATATACTCCCCTGTCACTTGACTCTCTCAAGGGTCAATTGATCCTAAAAGATAAGTTTAGTACCCAATCAGCCACAGATATCAGGAGAAAGCTCCAAAAGCTAGCCCTGGGCCCTGAACAACATCTGGAGGCATCATTAAACCTGGCAACCTTGGTGTTCTATAATAGGAACCAGGAGAAACAGGTCAAAAAGGAAAAGTGAGATAGGAGAAAGGCCACAGCCTTAGTCATGGCCCTCAGACAAACAAATCTTGGTGGTTAAGAGAGTACAGAAAATGGGACAGGCCAATCACCTGGTAGGGCTTGTTATCAGTCTGGTTTGCAAGGACACCTTAAAAAAAGATTGTCCAAAGAAAAACTAGCTGCTCCCTCGCCCATGTCCACTACACCAAGGCAATCATTGGAAAGCACACTGCCCCAGAGGACAAAGGTTCTCTGGGCCAGAAGCCCCCAACAAGATGATTCAACAATAGGACTGAGGGTGCTCAGGGCAAGGACCAGCTCATGCTGTCACCCTCACAGAACCTGGGGTACATTTAACTATTGAGGGCCAGGAAATTGACTTCTTCCTGGACACTGGCACAGTCTTCTCACTGTTAATCTCCTGCCTCAGATGGCTGTCCTCAAGGTCTGTTACCATCCGAGGAATCCTGGGACAGCCTGTAACCAGGTATTTCTCCCACCTCCTCAGTTGTAATTGGGAGACTTTTCTCTTTTCACATGCTTTTCTTGTTATGCCTGAAAGTCCAACACCCTTATTAGGGAGGGACATATTAGCCAAAGCTGAAGCTTTTATCTATATGAATATGGGGAACAAGTTACCCATTTGTTGTTCCCTACTTAAGGAGGGAATCAACCCTGAAGTCTGAGCATTGGAAGGACAATTTGGAAAGGCAAAAAATGCCCAGCCAGTACAAATCAGGCTAAAAGACCCCACCACTTTTCCTTATCAAAGGCAATATCCCTTAAGGCCTGGAGCTCATAAAGGATTACAGGATATTGTTAGAAATTTAAAAGCTCAAGACTTAGTAAGAAAATGCAGCAGTCCCTGCAACACCCCAATTCTAGGAGTACAAGAACTGAATGGTCAGTGGAGACTAGTGCAAGATCTTAGACTCATCAATGAGGCAGTAATTCCTCTATATCCAGTTGTACCCAACCCCTATACCCAGCTATCTCAAATACCAGAGGAAACAGAATGGTTCACTGTTCTGGACCTCAAGGATGCCTTCTTCTGCATTCCCTGCACTTTGACTCCAAGTTTCTCTTTGCCTTTGAGGATCCCACAGACCACACAGCCCAACTCACATGGATGATCTTGCCTCAAGGGTTTAGGGATAGCCCTCATCTGTCTGGTCAGGCACTGGCCCAAGATCTAGACCACTTCTCAAGTCCAGACACTCTGGTCCTTCAGTATGTGGATGATTTACTTTTGGCTACCAGTTTGGAAACCTCATGCCAGCAGGCTACTCTAGATCTCTTGAACTTTCTAGCTAATCAAGGGTACAAGGCATCTAAATTGAAGGCCCATCTCTGCCTACAACAAGTCAAATATCTAGGCCTAATCTTAGCCAGAGGAACCAGGGCCCTCAGCAAGGAACAAATACAGCCTATACTGGCTTATCCTCACCCTAAGACATTAAAACAGTTGTGGGGGTTCCTTGGAATCACCAACTTTTGCCAACTATGGATCCCCGAATACAGTGAGATGGCCAGGCCACTCTATAATCAAGGAGACCCAGAGGGCAAATACTCATCTAGTAGAATGGGAATCAGAGGCAGAAACAGCCTTCAAAACCTTAGCAGGCCCTAGTACAAGCTCTAGCCTTAAGCCTTCCCACAGGACAGAACTTATCTTTATACATCACAGAGACAGTGGGAATAGCTCTTGGAGTCCTTACTCAGACTCGTGGGACAACCCCACAGCCAGTGGCATACCTAAGTAAGAAAATTGAAGTAGTAGCAAAAGGCTGGCCTCACTGTTTATGGGTAGTTGAAGCAGTGGCCATCTCAGTATCATAGGCTATCAAAATAACACAAGGAAAGGGTCTCACCATCTGGACTACTCATGATGTAAATGGCATACTAGGTGCCAAAGGAAGTTTATGGCTATCAGACAACTGCCTGCTTAGATACCAGGTGCTACTCCTTGAGGAACTGGTGCTTCAAATATGCACACTTGCAGTCCTCAGCCCTGCCACTTTTCTCCCAGAAGATGGAGAACCAATTGAACGTGACTGCCAATAAATTGTAGCCCAGACTTATGCCTCCAGAGAGGATCTCTTAGAAGTCCCCTTAGTTAATCCTGACCTTAACCTACATACCAATGGAAGTTCATTTGTGGAGAATGGGATATGAAGGGCAGATTATGCTATAGTTAGTGATGTAACAGTAGTTGAAAGTAAGCCTCTTCCCACAGGGACCAGTGCCCAGTTAGCAGAACTAGTGGTGCTTACCCAAGCCTTAGAACTGGGAAAGGACAAAAGAATAAATGTGTATACAGATAGCAGGTATGCTTATCTAATCCTACATGCCCATGCTGCAATATGGAAAGAAAGGGAGTTCCTAACCTCTGGGGGAGCCCCCATTAGATACTACAAGGAAATCATGGAGTTATTGCATGCAGTGTGAAAACCCAAGGAGGTGGCAGTCTTACACTGTCAAAGCCATTAAAATGGTGAAGGAGAAAAGGCAGAAGGAAACTGTCAGGCAGACACTGAGGCCAAAATTGCTGCCAGGAGGAATCTCCCATTAGAAATACCTATGGAAAGATCCTTGGTATGGAACAACCATCTCTAAGAGATTAAGCCCCAGTACTCCCTGACTGAAATAGAATGGGGACTTTCACGGGGGCATAGTTTTCTCCCCTCAGGGTGGTTAATGACAGAAGAGGGAAAGGCACTCATACCCGAAGCCAGCCAGTGGAAAATACTTAAAACCCTCCACTAAACTTTTCATATGTGTATTGAGAACACTCAAGTGGCTGAATCCCTATTTACAGGGCCAAATCTCCTCTGGACCATCCCACAAGTAGTCAAAGCCTGTGAGGTGTGCCAAAGGAATAATCTCTTGGTCCACCATAAGGACCCTCTGGGGGAACAAAGAATAGGGCACTATCCCACAGAGGACTGGCATTTAGCCAACATCACCTATTACATGAGCAATGAAAAAACCATACACTGCCCTGTAACCATGAATACCATCTTAACTTTCCAAGCCCCTTTATGCATCCAATGCAACTGTTATCAGGCCTGCCTCTAGGACACCTACTATCCCATCAGTGTAATTACACCCTACAACTTCCAGCCCCTGCTGGTCATAGTAACTTCCGAGTCTCCCAAACAGCTACATTCAGATGGCTTGCCCACTTCTCAGGGCCCCCAAAAATCATCACTTCCTCCCTGCTTAACAAACAGCCTGTGTTTTGTAATGGCAAACATACTCCCTGTATCACCATTCACCTCTGGACCTCTGGACCCCCTGAAGCAGTGCCCCCACCACTAGTGAATGCCTTCTCATCCCCTCTTTCAATTACTCTCTTGAATGGTTCCTAGTAGATACAAAACGGTTTTTTCTCCAGTGGGAAAATAGAACACAGGAAACCACTCGGTTTGCTCCCAATCCTCTTTCCAGCTGCTCACCGGAGCTACCTTGCAAGTATTCTAGGAGTATGGGAAAATGAAAACAACAAACTCACACACCTTTTTAACATACACAACCAGTTCTGTCTATCCAGCCAAGGCATATTCTTATGTGGAACTTCAACCTATATCTTCCTCCCCACCAACTGGACAGGCACCCGGACCTTAGTCTTCCTAAGTCCCAACATTGACATTGCCCCAGGAAATCAGACCCTATCAGTGCCCCTCAAAGCTCAAGTCCATCAGCACAGGGCCATACAACTAATACCCCTACTTATATGGTTAGGAATGGCCATTGCTACATTAACTAGAATAGCTGGTTTGTTCATTTCACTATCCTACTACCACACACTCTCAAAGGATTTCTCAGACAGTTTGTGAGAAATAACAAAATCTATCCTTACTCTAGAATCCCAAATAGACTCTTTGGCAGCAGTGACTCTCCAAAACTGCCAAGGCCTAGACCTCCTCACTGCTGAGAAAGGAGGACTTTGCACCTTCTTAGGGGAAGAGTGTTGCTTTTACACTAACCAATCAGGGATAGTAAGAGACACCACCTGGCATTTATAGCAAAAGGCTTCTGAAATCAGACAATTCCTCTCAAACTCTTATGCCAAACTCTAGAGATGGGTGACATGGCTTCTCCCCTTTCTAGGTCCGGTGACAGCTATCTTGCTATTACTCGCCTTTGGGCCCTCTATTTTTAACCTCCTTGTCAAATTTGTTTCCTCCAGGATCAAGGGCATCAAGCTACAGATGGTCTTACAAATGGAACCCCAAATGAGCTCAACTCACAACTTCTACTGAGGATTCCTGGATTGACCCACTGGCCCTTTGACTGGCCTAGGTAGTTCCCCTCTGGAGGACACTACAACTGCAGGGCCCCTTCTTTGCCCCTATCCAGCAGGAAGTAACTAGAGCAGTCATCGCCCAATTCCCAATAGCAGTTGGGGTGTCCTGTTTAGAGGGGGGATTGAGAAGTGAAGCCAGCTGGACTTCCTGGGTCGAGTAGGCACTTGGAGAACTTTTCTGTCTTACAAGAGGATTGTAAAAACGCACCAATCAGCACTCTGTAGCTAGCAAGGGGATTGTAAAATGAGCCAATCAGTGCTCTGTAAAAATGCACCAATCAGTGCTCTGTAGCTAGCAAGAGGATTGTAAAATGCACCAATCAGCACTCAGTAAAATGTACCAATCAGCGCTCTGTAAAATGTACCAATTAGCAGGATCCTAAAAGTAGCAAATCACAGGGAGGATTGTAAAAAGGGCATTCTGATAGGACAGAAACAGAACATGGGAGGGGACAAATAGGGAATAAAAGTAGGCCATCCCAGCCAGCAGTGGCAACCTGCTTGCATCCCCTTCCATGCTGTGGAAGCTTTGTTCTTTTGCTCTTCACAATAAATCTTGCTGCTGCTCACTCTTTGGGTCTGTGCTACCTTTAAAGGCTGTAACACTCACCGCAAAGGTCTGTGGCTTCACTCTTGAAGTCAGTGAGACCATGAACCCACTGGAAGGAACCAACTCCAGACACACTGTTGCAGGGTCATGGTGGGAGTGAGACTGGGCTTTAGGGCTGTAGGCTGTGTGGGAGTGGGGTGAGACCTATGACTACTGACTTCCCTCAACTCCTCTGGCGACCTGTATGACTCAGCTGAGGCAGCCATAATCCCCCTGCGAATGAATATAACTCCATTGGACTGGGAAACACACCCCCATCTCCCATAGCAGCCACAGCAAGCCCTACCCAAGGAGAGGCTGAGCTCAGACACCCTTATCCCTGCCCCAACCTGAGGTCTTTCTCTACTGACCCTGGTAGCCAAGACAAAGGTCAATCTCTTGGGAGTTCTTTGGCCCTGCCTACCACCTGAGAAATGTGAATACTTAACCAGGTGTCTCTAGGGCAAGTTTGCATCCTCCCTATAGGATGACAGCTGATGTACTCTTGAAAGCGTCACCTGCTGGCTGGAGGCCAACCAACACAAAACCAACACACTGAACAAAACACAACCAAGGACCATCATAGAGTCCACTTCACTCCCCTGCTACCTCCACCAGAGCAGATGCCGATATGCATGGATGAAAGACCCAAAGATGGATCACATCACAGGACTCTTTTCAGACATTCACACCTTGGTACCCAGCCCAGAGCCTGCTAGCTCCACTTGGTGGCTAGATCTAGAAAAGCAATAATAATCACTACAGTTCAGCTCTGAAGAAGCCCCATTCCTAGGGAAAGGGAGAGAATACATATCAAGGGAGCACCCCATTGGACAAAATAATATGAAAAGCAGCCCTTGAATCCTAGATGTTTCCTCTGACATAGTCTACCCAAATGAGAAGGAACAAGAAAAATAATACTGGAAATATGACAAAATGAGGTTCTTTAATATCCCCCAAAAGATCATACCAGCACACCAGCAATGGATCAAAACCAAGGCAAAATTTCTGAATCGCCAGAAGAAAAATTCAGAAGCTCAATTATTAAACTAATCAAGGAGATGCTAGACCAAGGTAAAGTCCAAGAAAGGAGTCTAAACCATAATACAGAAGAATGTTCATGAAAGGAAAATTTTTAGTGAAATAGATAGCATAAATAAAAAACAATCACAACTTCTGGAAATCAAGGACACAGAGAAATGTAAAATACACTGGAAGGTCTCAGCAATAGAATCAAACAAGCAGAAGAAAGAACCTCAGAGCTCAAAGACAAGACTTTCAAATTAAACCAATCCATCGAGGACAAAGAAAAAAAGAATTTAAAAAATAGACAAAGCCTCCAAGAAGTATGGAAACTATGTTAAACATCCAAGCCTGAAAACAAATTGTGTTTCCAAGGAAGAAGAGAAATCTAAGTTTGGAAACATATTTGAGGGAATAATTGAGGAAAACTTCCCCAGCCTTGCTAGAGATCTAGATATTCAAATAGAAGAAGCTCAAAAATCACCTGGGAAATTTAGCACTAAAAGATCATTCCCTAGGCACATAGTCATCAGGTTATCTAATATCAAGACAAAGAACCTTAAGAGCTGTGAGGCAAAAGCATCAGGTAACCTATAAAGGAAAATCTATCAGATTAACAGCAGATTTCTCAGCAGAAACCCTACAAGCTAGAAGGGATTGGGGCCCTATCTTCATCCTCCTTAAAACAATTGTCAGCCAAGAATTTTGTACCCAGTGAAACTAAGCTTCATAATGAAGGAAAGATATAGTCTTTTCCAGACAAATGCTCAGAGAATTCTCCACTACCAAGCCAGCACTACAAGAACTGCTATAAGAAGCTCTAAATCTTGAGACAAATCCTTGAAATACACCAAAATAAAACCTCCTTAAAGCATAAATCTCACAGTGCCTATATGGCAATATCACAGTATTAAAAAAACAAGGTATTCTGGCCACAAGTAACTTGATGAATAAAATAGTATCTCACATCTCAATACTAACATTGAATGTAAATAGCCTCAATGCTGTGCTTAAAAAATGCAGAATAGCAGAATGGGTAAGAATTCACAAAGCAAGTTACTCCTGTCTTCAAGAGACTCACTTAACACATAGGACTCACATGAAGTTAAGGTAAAGGGGTGGAAAAATATATTCCATGCAAATGGACACCAAAAGCAAGCAGGAGTAGCTATTCTTACATTAGACAAAACAAACTTTAAAGCAACAACAGTTAAAAAAGACAAAGTCGGACATTATATTATGATTAAAGGACTAGTCCAAGAGGAAAATATCACAATTATAAATATATATGCGCCTAACACCAGAGCTCCCAAATTTATAAAACAATTACTACTAGACCTAAGAAATAAGATACATGGCTACACAATAATAGTGTGGGACTTTAATACTCCACTGAGACACTAGACAGGTCATCAAGACAGAAAGTCAACAACAACAACAACAACAACAACAAAAAATGGACTTAAACTATGCTGTACAACAAATGGACTTAACAGATATTTACAGAACATTCTATCCAACAACGGCAGAACATACATTCTATTCATCAGCACATGGAACATTCTCCAAGATAGACCATAGACAAAACAAGTCTCAGTAAATTTAAGAAAACTGAAATTATATCAAGTACTCACTAGGACCACAGTGGAATAAAATTGAAAATCAACTCCAAAAGGAACCCTCAAAACCATGCAAATGCATGGAAATTAAATAACCTGCTTCTGAATGATCATTGGGTCAACAATGAAATCAAGACGGAAATTAAAAAATTCTTTGAACTGAATGATAATAGTGATACAACGTATCAAAACCTCTGGGATACAGCAAAAGCAATGCTAAGAGGAAAGTTCATAGCATTAAATGCTTACATCAAGAAGCCTGAAAGAGCAAAAATAGACAACCTAAGTCACACACCATGGAACTGGAGAAACAGAAACAATCCAAATCCAAATCCACACCCAAAACAAAATTACAAAAGATAAATGAAACAAAAAGCTGGTTGTTTGAAATGATAAAATTGATGGACCATTAGTGAGTTTAACCAAGAATAGAGAAGATCCAAATAAGCTCAATTAGAAACGAAATGGGAGATATTATAATTGATTCCAGAGAAATACAAAAGGTTATTCAAGTCTACTATGAACACCTTTACGTGCATAAACTAGAAAACCTAGAGGAAATGGATGAATTCCTGGAAATATACAACCCTTCTAGATTAAACCAGGAAGATATAGAATCTCTGAACAGACCAATAATAAGCAGCAAGATTGAAATGGTAATAAAAAATGGACAACAACAAAAATACTCTAGGACCAGACAGATTCAGAGCTGAATTCTTTCAGACATTCAAAGAAGAATTGTTATCAATCCTATTGACAATATTTCAAAGGGTAGAGAAAGAGGGAATCCTCCCTAAATCATCCTAAAGCCAGTATCACCCTAATACCAAAACCAGGGAAGAACATAATAAAAAAAGAAAATGACAGACCAATATCCTTGATGAACATCGATGTGAAAATTCTCAACTAAGTTCTAGCTAATCAAATCCAATAGCATATCAAAAAGGTAGTCCACTATGATCAAGTAGGTTTCATACCAGGGATGCAGGGATGGTTTAATGTATGTAAGTCAATAAATGTGAAACACCACATAAACAGAATTAAAAACAAAAGTCCCATTATCATCTCAACACACACAGAAAAAGCATTTGACAGAATGCAGCATCCTTTATGATTAAAACCTTAGCAAAATCAGAATAGAAGATAAATACCTTAAGGTAATGAAAGCCATCTATGACAAATCCACAGCCAACATTATACTGAATGGGGAAAAGTTGAAAGCATTCCTGCTGAGAACTGGAACCCGACAAGGATGCCCACTTTCACCACTTGTATTCAACATAGTACTGGAAATCCTAACCAGAGCAATCAGACAAGAGAAAGAATAAAGTGCATCCAAATCAGTAAAGAGGAAATCAAACTGTCACTGTTTGCTGATGATATGATTGTATACCTAGAAAATCCTAAAGACTCATTCAAAAAGCTCCTAGAACTGGTAAAGGAATTCAGCAAAGTTTCAGGATACAAAATTAACATACACAAATCAGTAGCTCTGCTATAGACTAACAGTGACCAAGCTGCAAAAGAAAAAACAAAAACAAAAACAAAAAACAACTTAGGAATATACCTAACCAAGGATGTGAAAGACCTCTACAAGGAAAACTACAAAACACTGCTAAAAGAAATCACAGATGACACAAACAAATGGAAACACATCCCAAGCTCATGGATGGGTGAATCAATATTGTAAAAATGACCATACTGTCAAAAGAAATCTACAAATTCAATGTAATTCCCATCAAAATACCATCATCATTCTTCACAGAACTAGAAAAAACAATCCAAAAATTCATATGAAACCAAAAAGAGCCTTCATAAACAAAGCATCACCTGACTACAAACTACACTATAAGGCCATAGTCACCAAAACAGTATGGTACTGGTATAAAAACAGGCACATAGACCAATGAAACAGAATGGAGAACCCAGAAATAAAGCCAAATACTTACAGCCAACTGATTTTCAACAAAGCAAATGAAAACATAACGTGGGGTGATATGTTTTGGCTCTGTTTCCTCATCTAAATCTCACACTGAATTTTAATAATCCCCACTTGTCAAGGGCTTGACCAGAAGGAGATAATTGATCATGGGGCAGTCTCCTCCATACTGTTCTCATAATAATGAGTGAGTTCTCATGAAGCTGATGGGTTTAAGGGGCTTTGCCCTTCACTTGCCACTCATTCTCTTTCTTGCTGCCCTGTGAGGAGGTGCCTTCCACCATGTTTGTATGTTTCTAGAGGCCTCCAGGTCATGCAGAGCTGTGAGTTAATTAAACCTCTTTTCTTTATAAATTACTGAGTCTTGGGTATTTCTTCATAGCAGCATGAGAATGAACTGATACAGTAACTTGGTACCATAGAGAGTTGGGCATTGCTGTAAAGATACCTGAAAATATGGAAGCAACTTTGGAACTGGGAAATAGGCAGAGGTTTGAATAGTTTGTAGGGCTCAGAAGAAGAGAGAAAGATGTGGGAAAGTTTGGAACTTCCTAGAGACTTGTTGAATGGCTTTGACCAAAATGCTGGTAGTGATATGGACAATGACATCCAGGCTTAGGTGGTCTCAGATGGAGATGAGGAACTTTTTGGGAACTGAAATAAAGGTGATTCTTGCTATGCTTTAGCAAAGAGACTGGTGGCATTTTGCCCCTGCCCTAGAGATCTGTGGAACTTTGAAATTTAGAGAGATGATTTAAAGTAGCTGGCAGAAGAAATTTCTAAGCTGCAAAGCATTCAAGAGGTGACTTTGGTGCTCTTAAAATAATTCAGTTCCGTGTACACATAAAGATATGGTTTGGAATTGAAACTTACATTTAAAACATAAGTAAAGCACAAAAGTTCAGAGAATTTGCAGCCTGACAATGCAATAGAAAAGAAAAACCCATTTTCTGAGAAGAAATTCAAGCTGGCTGTGGAAATTTGCATCAGTAATGAGAAGCCAAATGTTAGTCACCAAGACAATGGGGAAAATGTCTCCAGGACATGTCAGAGATCTTCATGGCAGCCCCTCCCATCACAGGCCCAGAGGCCTAGGTGGTAAAATGGTTTCATGGGCCGGGCTCAGGGCCTTGCTGCTTTGTGCAGTCTCAAAACTTGGTGCCCCACATCCCAGCTGTGGCTAAAAGGGGTCAACATAGAGCTCAGGCTGTGGCTTCTGAGGGTGCAAACTCCAAGTCTTGGTGGCCTACACGTGGTGTGGGACCTGTGGGTACATAGACGGCAAGAATTGAGGTTTGGGAACCTCTGCCTAGATTTCAGAGGATGTATGGAAACACCTGCATGTCCAAGCAGAAGTTTCCTGCAGGAGTGGAGCCCTCATGGACAACTTCAGTTAGGACAATGTGGAAGGAAAATGTGGGGTCAGAGCCCCCACACAGAGTCCCCACTGGGGCACTGTGGAGCTGTGATAAGAGGGCCATGATCCTCCAGACCCAAGAATGATAGATCCAATGACAGTTTGCACTGTGCTCCTGGAAAAGCTGCAGACACTCAACACTGGCCCATGAAAGCAGCTGGGAGTGAGGCTGTGCCCTGTAAAGCCATAGGGATGGAGCTGCCCAAGACCATGGGAGTCCACCTCTTGCATCAGTGTGACCTGGATGTGAGCCATGGAGTCAAAGGAGATCATTTCAGAGATTTAAGACTTGACTGCACCACTAGATTTTGGACTTGCATGTGACCAATTTCTCCCACTTGAAACAGGTGTATTTATCCAATGCCTGTGCCTTCATTGTATCTAGGAAGTAGCTAAATTGCTTTTGATTTTACAGGTTTATAGCCAGAAGGGACTTGCCTTTTCTCAGATTACACTTTGGACTTGGACTTTTGGGTTAATGCTGGAACGAGTTAAGATTTTGGGGGACTGTTGGAAGGGCATGATTATGTTTTGAAATGTGAGGACATGAGAGCTGGGAGAGGTCGGGGTAGAATGATATGGTTTGGCTCTGTGTCCCCACCTAAATCTCACCTTGAATTGTAATAATTCCCACATGTCAAGGGCAGGACCAGGTGGAAATAATTGAATCATGCGGGTGGCTTTTTGTCATGCTGTTCTCATGATAGTGAGTGAGTTCTCATGAGTGCTGATGGTTTTATAGGGGCTTCCCCCTTTGTTTAGCGCTCATTCTCTCTCCTGCTGTCCTGTGAAGAGGTGCCTTCTGTCATGATTGTAAGTTTCCTGAGGCCTCCCCACCCATGTAGAACTGTGAGTCAATTAAACCTCTTTCCTTTATAAACTACCAAGTCTTGAATATTTCTTCATAGCAGCATGAGAACGGACTCATACATGAGAAAAGAACATGCTATTCAACAAACGGTGCTGGGACAATTGGCAAGCCACATGTAAAAGAATGAAATTGGATCCTCATCTCTCACCTTATACAGAAATCCACTCAAGACAGATCAAAGACTTGAATCTAAGACCTGAAACCATAAAGATTCTAGAAGAAAACATTGGAAAAAGCCTTGTAGACATTGGCTTAGACAAAGACTTTGTGACCAAGAACCCAGAAGCAAATGCAACAAAAAGAAAGATAAATAGATGGGATGGGACTGAATTAAACTAAAAAGCTTCTGCACAGCAAAATAAATAATCAGCAGAATTAACAGAAAACCCCCAGAGAGGGAGAAAATCTTCACAGTCTACACATCCAACAAAGGACTAATACCCAGAATCTACAAATAACTCAAACTGAGAAAAAAAAATCCCATAAAAAAGTTGGCTAAGGACACAAATAGCCAATTCTCAAAAGAATATATACAAATGGCCAACAAGTACATGGGAAAATGCTGAACATCACTAATTATCAGGGAAATGCCAATCAAAACCACAATATGATACCACTTCACTCCTGCAAGAATGGCCCAAAAGAAAAAAAAAGATGTTGGCATCAATGTGGTGAAAGGGAACACTTTTACACTGCTAGTAGGAATGTAAACTAGTACCAACCACTATGGAAAACAGTATGGAGGTTCCTTAAGAACTAAAAGTATATCTACCATTTGATACAGAAATCTCACTACTAGGTAAAAAAAAATACCCTGCACACACATGTTTAACACATATTTTGCAATTGCAAAATATGGAACCAGCCCAAATGCCTATCAATCAATGAGTGGATTAAGAAAATATGGTATATATGTATACATACATATATATATATATATACACACACACACACACAAACATATATCATGGAATACACTCAGCCATAAAGAGGAATACCCTCAGCCATAAAGAGGAATGAAATAATGGCATTTGCAGCAACCTGGATGGAATTGGAGACTATTATTCTAAGTGAAGTAACTAAGGAATGGAAGACCAAGCATCATATGTTATCACTCATATGTGAGAGCTAAGCTATGAGGACACAAAGGCATAAGAATGATACACCAGACTTCGGGGACTCAGGGGGCAAACCTGGGGGGTGGTGAGGGATAAAATACTACACATTGGGTGCAGTGTACCCTGCTTGGGTGTTGGGTGCACCAAAATATCAGAAATCACCACTAAAGAACTTATTCACATAACTGAATACTACCTGTTCCCCAAAAACCTATTGAAATAAAACATTAAAAATTAAAAAAAATTAAAAAAAATCCTCACCACTCTATAGTCACACCTGCACACAGATGGAGTCAACACTGTTTTGACCTGTTATCTATGCTCTGAAGGACTGCAGCTCACTGTTGAATGTACAGTAATTCCATAGGGATCAGGGCTGAACAATTCCCTGACTCCTCCCTCTTTTTCTCTCATAGGTTCTCTGGGCTCTTAAGTGCAGCAACATCTTTGCATTCCAGCACTTGGCACTTGACACCTAACTCATGCTGCTGCTTCCCCCTTCTCCCTAGTTGGCATTTGTGTCAGGGGAGCAGCCAGGTAGCAACCTCCACACTACCCTCTGCCCACCTTCCACTCCAAACACAAACCCTTCCATCTCAGTATTAGGGACTGCCAGTATTTATGTCTTCTCTCCCCATGTCCCTGTACCTCAACCAGACTGGAGGCCCAAGGCTCTCAGATCATTCCTTGTCACTAGATCCTCTTCCCCTAGACTGACCCATTTACAAAGTTCTCCTCCCAGACACGTTCACTGCACCCTCTGAAACTCACTGTCTTCAGCAAAAAACTTCCAGTTCTCAATGCCTTCACTTTCTTATCTTTACCAAAACCTGGCCTTTCCCTGAGGACTTTTTCCCTATATTGTTCTCAGGCAGTGCCTGTTTTCTATCCTTCACCCATGCAGACTGAGGTGTCCTCCTTACTCTTTCCTAACTAGTCTTCATTGGCACCTCCAGACCATTCTCCCTTCCTTCCTCCTACCAGCCCTCCCTGCCCAGCCCACTGCAAGCTTATGCTGTCATGCTCTGCTGAACACTACCCTGTCTTGTTGGAGTCAGCTACAGATCTATAGCTCACTCCCCTTTATGTCTTGGATATTTTTTCCCCTTTCTTTAAACTATGCACCTAAGAATTCATGACATTTTCAAATCCTTAGGGGCAATGCATGCTCTGAATGATCTGTTTTCTGATTTCCCCTACTCTTACTAAGCCACTCATTCTTCTATAGTGCAGAGTTGTCATGATCAATAACTACAGCTATTCCAGACCTCATTTCAATCGCTCCTCTTCACATCTAGCATGTCCTGTTGTTTTAACCCATTCTCTCTACTCTCCCTAGTTTTCTGTCTCCAACAGTTCCTCTGCTCCACAGGAAGCTGTGCTCTGTTGCTCCTACTCTGTTTTCACTGCTGATTATCCTTCTTCACCTCTTTTCCTCCTGATTTTGATGCCATGATTTATCGGTATAACTATGACCTTGTATATATACTCGACTCACTTGTCCCTCCCTCCTTCCAGCACATTCATCTAGCAAAATCCAACTCTGCTTCAACCAAAACAACTCTACTTCAACCCAAATCTTTTCCTGCTTCATATCATTCCTAAGCAGCTGAACATAACTGGAGGAAGAATACAGACACACACACATACACAACCTTATGGATTGGTCTCACCTTCAAGTTGTGACCACTAACTTCAGGTGAGCCCTGGTGCTGCCCAGTAATTCCACTCCATTTCCTTTTATTGGTCACTTCACCACATCCCAGGTGACTATTTTACCTTTTTTTCTTTTTCCTGAAACCTCTAATGTCTCTTCCAATTTTCTTCTCAGCTACTGATCAGACTGTCTTCAGATATATGTTCCCACTAGCAAACCTATGAAGCTACATATATCTACTCTCATATTCTTAAAGTCCTAACCTCCAATACCTCAGAATATGACCATATTTGGAGAAAGCGTTTTTAAAAAGGTAATTAAAGTTAAATGAGGTCATTGGGGTGGCTCTTAATCCAATATGACTGGTGTCTTTATAAGAAAAGGAGATTAGGACACAGACATGCAGAGAAAAAAGATTATGTGAAGACAGAAGTGAAGGAAATAATGCGTACAGTAGTCATTTTCCAAGACAAAGTGACTTAAATCAGCTTAGGTCAGCAAACTACAGAAAAAATAGGATATACTAGGCACCTGCTTGGATAGCCAACGCCTGCTTGTCAGGCACCCCCTGCCTCAACCCCCTGAGTTGCCCTCATCCGAACCAAAAAAGTTTAGTCTAAGATGAAAACTTACTAGCCTGAAAAATAGCTCACTTTGTCTGTTCTTATCAACCTGCTCAGCTGCTTAGGTCATAAGTCAAATACTTAAAGAGCTCCTGAGCTGATTAGCATTGCAATGCATTGTGGGCTGCAACAAAATGCAGCAAGACAACCCTAAACAAACAAACAAACAAACAAAAAACACCTAAAGCCCCAACCCAACAACTGATAGGTGTCATCTGGGAAGATTGTAACCCCATAGTACTCAGCCTATGAGGAACTGGGGGAGGGACTTGTGCACTAGGGGATAAATTGCTTGTTGTAACTGTGCTGGGTGTGCCTGCCCATCAGACACCTGATCTTGCAAGATGGTAACTAAAAGTCTCACTTTCGGTGCTCTCGGGGTCTCTGAGTCCATTCTTTGGTTTGGACAGGTGAATTTGTTTCTCACAGAAGGAGACGTACATCTGCAAGCCAAGCAGAGAAATCTCAGAAGACATGAACCCTGTTGGCACTTTGATCTCGAACTTCCAACCTCCAAAATTGTGATTAAATAAATTTCTGTTGTTAAGACATCCAGTCTATGGCACTTTATTATGGCAGGCCCAGCAAAATAATACAGCATCTCTCCTCAAATCCTTCACATTTTCCCCACATCATCATTTTTTCTTCACTACTGAACTATTCACATTAGCATACACATGAGCTATACTGTATTCCATTATTAGAAAAATGTGCTGCCTTGACCTCATGTTGACCGCCCAGCTCTGCTCCCCTTCACAGGAAACTGTGAGTAGTCTCTCCTCATTGCTCCTTATATTCCCCTCTCAGACTCCTTGGAACCAACTCCAGTATGGCTTTCAGGCCCACCCCTGCATCAAAACAGCCTTTTCCAAGTTCAGCAGTGACCTCACGTCGCCAAATTAAGCGGGCTCCTCTTAGTTCTCATCTTCCTCACTTGTCAGCATATTTGACCTGGCTTCTGATGAAATACTTGTCTTGGCTTTTGAAACTCCTTTTTAGGTTCTGGTCACTCTATTCTCTGTCTGGTTACTCTTTCTTTTTTGCTTGTTTCTTCTCATTTTCAGCATCTCCTTTTATGTTGGGGTTTCTGGGGCTCAGTCCTTAGGTTTCTTCCCTGACTACCGTCACTCTCAGGTGGTCTCATTCTAGTGTCATGGCTTTAAAAGCCATCTCTTCACTGAAGACTCACAAATGTATCCCCTGAACTATATATAGATTTCTCTGTTTAAACATCAATAAACATTTTCAATTTGTCTTGCCCAAAATAGAACCCTTGATCTTTGAATTGGCCTCCACCCTTGTTTTTTTTGTATTTTTCCTCATACCATAAATGTTTCTTCAGTTTCTCAGGGCAAAACCTTGGAATCATACTTGTCTTTTCTCTTTCAAGCACTTCTCACATCCAACCCAAAGCAATTCTCCTGGTTCTTCCTTCATAGGTATCTAGACTCCAGCTGCACCTCAGCATCTCCATGGCATTTTTTCTGGTCAAAGCCGTCGTCCTCTGTCATTTGGACTTGTGCTATCTTTCTAGATGCTCATCCTGTTTCGATCCTTGCTCCCTAATGATCAATTCTGTAGCCAACGTGATATTTTTAAAATTTGTCCGTGCATGTCTTCTTTCTTCCTCAAATCCTTACCTAGCACTCCATCTCACTCAAAATCTAAAATCTTTATCCCGACTTAATGGTGCAGTGTGATCTGTCCCTTGAGGCTTCTCTGACCTTCTAGTCTTCTATGTTCCCCTTGCCCACTCAACTGTTGTTACATGGGCCTCCCTCTGTTCCTACAACGTGTCACAAACATTCTTGCCACAGGGCCTTTGCAGGTGCCATTTCCCCTCCCTCAAATGCTCTTTGTCTAATTATCTTTGTGGCTTTTTCTCCCATTTCTTTAAGTTTTTCCTTTTCAGCTGTCTTCTTAGAAGAGAGATCTTCCATGTACTTCATGTCTAAAATTGTTCCTTCTGCCTCTCTCCTTCCTTCTCTCTACTCAGGCTTCAAGAGACCCATTATGATTGCAGTTTTAAAATGTGTATTGTTGAAGGAATGAAAGACAAGAAAATTTTAATTGTTAGCAAAAAGAATTTTGATGTATTTATTTCAGATGATTACTTTTTTCCTGCAATCTCATTTTAGTTAAGAACAGTAAAATTACTGTTGAGAACTTCATTGCATGGAAGAATGGCCCCCAATGCACTGCCCAACTTTGATAAAAACATCATTCTGAAATATAAAAAGAACACGGGACCTTCTCTATGAGCAACCCTTACACACTAAATCTAATGACATTGAAGAAACAACCAAAGGTGCTTACATCTTTTTTTAGTCAATAGTGAAAGGGAAAAATATCAAATAATGTCTCATAGGCCTCTTCTTGGTGCTCAAAGTTTTCTACGCTACTTTTTAGTTATTTGTGGGTTTGCTTTACTGTGAACCTATGATAAGGGGGAATATTTTGCAGATAGTTGCCTGTATTTAATAGATATGCCATAAAGCAAACTGGAAAAAGAAACAGACATTGGTAGGAAGAGGAGGAAGTAGCACAGGTAAAAGTGAGCAAGACCAGAACAAAATTATTGAAGTGGACATCATTTTGTGGTCCTGGTGAAAACTCCGCCAAGTGGCATACAAAGATATTTTAGTTAGAAGTTTATGAAAAGGAAAAAATTAGTAAGGAAGCAGAGCACTTACTGAGAAAATTTGACATCATTTGCTTGCTTCTCAAAAATAATATTAATGGCAATAAAATTAACAGACTTGACAACTTTCTTTATCATTAGAGGAGAAATTTGCACTCTGTATGCATTTCACAAATATTAGCTATTAAAAAGCCCAGGGAGTTAACTGCTTGACCAATAACCATCAATTCTTATTATTGTCTTTCTATTAAAGAAACAAATTAAAATCTCTTCCAGTGAACATTTATTTTCCAAAGTCAAAATCTTTTAGGGTTGCATCTGCTTTTCTGTTAACACTTTACTAACTACAGCCAAGGGGTTACTTTATCCCTAGGAATATGTTTAGTTCCCCAACCCCATGTTCTATATAATGTTTTCCCTTTGTGAACCTTGAATAGTTTGAACCTAGCACTGTTTCAGAATCATTTACACTCAACTCAGGTCACTCAATAAGTAATGCTTGATGTCCAGTAAGGCATTTAATATGTCATACTAAGAGTGATTCAATTTTTTTTTGCCAAGGATATGCAAACTGATATACCAGGAGATTTGAAATTCAAAACACATGATATCTGAGTGAGTCCCAAGCTTGGCACAATTTCTCTTTTGCTTCTCCTTCTCTTTTCCCTCTCTCTACACTTGCAGATATAATCTAAGAGTCATCTGGCTGTTTGGCAAGCTATTTATTATTATTTAGAGGAATTCTAGGAGGATTTATTTTTAAAGAAACTAAAATATGGGTGTAATATTTTAGCCTTAAAACTGCCATTCAGGGCCTAGAGTGAAGCCTCTTCTATAGGTAGGTATTGCCAGGTGTTCTGAAAAATGCATCTGCTTCTTGTACAGGGTCAGAGTCTTTCACAGTGAGGAGAAAGGTGTTGGTTCTACAAAACAGCCCAGGGAAGTGAAGTTGAAATTGATTGAAGTAAATTATTCCTAAAGCCTTGATTCTCCCCTCCTTTGAAGGCAGGAGTAAATTTGGTTTCCTGCATCCAGGTGGTCCTCAGATGTCCTAAATTAAAACATGGTAAGAATGGGTTTTTCACAACAACGCTACCCTGACCAGTCTACCAGGGTCTACATCCCTCCACTGTGATTCTGTGCAATAGACCCAGTGGAAATTGCAGGGTAAGCAGGCAATGAGGAAGCACAGTTCTTTCCTCTGTGTTGGAAATAGGCCAAGATTGTGAATGTTAATCACCCAATTCTTGTAAAAGGTACTACACAGCCTTTAATAACCACAAATGGCTGGAGTCTTCATTTTTCATTTCATCCGTGATGCTCTGTCAGCGGGAGGTGGCAGCTGTAAACGAATATTGAAGCAATATCCCAAACTAGAAGTAGAAAGTCAGAGCCCTGACATTGTTGATCTCAGAGACTTGAGACACGATGAAAGACAGGCTTTGAGTATCAGTTTTCCATTGCTTTTTAGGCCAAGTCTAACTATCAAACATTTCAGGGAGCAAATATCTGTCCTTTTGTATCTTCCCTGCCCTGCTGTATCCACTTTGCTCTCTAAACAGTGCTGCCACCAATAGGCCAGATGATGCCACACAATACCACCATCTGAGCTATTGTCTCAGGAATACAGCCTTTTTCTTCCTCCCACTCCCTGCTCACCTAGAACACACTGATGGCAACATGTGCTTGTTTCGTCATGAATCCTCTTAAGTTTCTTTATCACAGTTGGGAAAATAACAGGGAAACAATCCCCAGAATAACAAAATAAATGTGAATTACAAATTTTGTTGTTCTTGTTGTTAGAGACAAGGTCTCGCTCTATCACCCAGGCTGGAGTGCAGTGGAACAATCATAGCTCACTGCAGCCTCAAACTCCTGGGCTCAAGTGATCCTCTTGCCTCAGCCTCCCAAGTAGCTGAGACCATAGGTATATGCCACCACACCTAGCTAATTTTTAAAGTTTTTGTAGATACAGGGTATCCCTATGTTGCCCAGGCTGGTCTTGAACACCTGGTCTCAAGTGATCCTCCTGCCTCGGCCTCCCAAAGTGTTGGGATTAGAGGTATGAGCCACTGTGCCCGGCCAAAATAAATGTGAATTTTAATTTTGTTCAGCTTAGTTGTGTATCTCTAGCAAGTAGCTTAAGCTTGCAGAACATAAATTTTGTCATCCATAAAATCTGTCTACACCATATGATTTATAGTTAGCTCCTTTGATGTGGATCAATTGACAAAACATTAATGATGTAAATTATAAAGTGCTATATTAATGTAAGCTATTTATTACTATTTTTATTATGTAGTAGACTTATAGGAGAATATATTTCTGAGGAATATATTTCTTTTATTTAAGTTTCCCCTGTATCGTGTCCAGGAAAGCATTGGGAACCACTGGAGTTCCCGTAGCGCTCAGAGGACCCAGGTGAAACCAATCATTTTCTTTGCTCCAGAGGAGAGAGAGAAAATATTTTTGTATTGCTGGTGAAGTGAATGCAAAAACATTATTTATGCAATATACTAAAGAGTGTATTTTTTTCATCTACAAGGAAAAGATGACCCCAATTTCCAAATGTATAAAGTGGTAGAAATCCTTTCACAACACAGAAGAACCAAAGTCATCAAAAATTTTCATTATGAACCAGAGCTTTTTCCTACTGTACTGAGTTTTACAAGGAGTTCAGCAGATTGCTTAATGTTAAGAGTAGAGAGTCTTAAAACATGTTTGGATCTAAGGCTACAGATAGAAGGCAGAAACAAATGTTTGGAAACCTAAGTGAAATAAAGGGGGAAGAACAGGTTTGAGGATTAGGCCATTGCCACCCATGCTTCTTTGGCCTGTTTATTTTAGGATGAGGCCTGTCTATTCTTGATTCTATGAGGGGATTCTATTTCATTTCATTTTCCAATCATAGGCTGCTTAACACCACTTAAGCCAATAACTCTCTAGATCTTACCCCATGGGTCCAACTTCTGGTAAAGTCCATACATGCCACTCTTCTGTTAGGCCTTAGGTCATTTTAGCTATTTCAAAGGCCAGAGAGTTTACAAATGTGGGATAAGTCATTTGTTATTCAAGGATTGCTTGTCATTTACAAGAGGAAAAGAAAGAAGTCTCAAAAACAGTTGATTTGGTCATGGAATATGGGTGGAAAATTTTGATGCAGACACAGTCATAGACTGAAGAAAATTCCAATGTTTTTTATGCTATTTCTCCTTTCTTCATGTTCCTATATTCTAGTGAAAGGACTAAGAGGAATCTTGGTTCAAAAAGTAAAGGGGTACTGCTCTTGGGTGACAGGGAACTGTCATTTGGTATTAAAACTCTTCTTCTTGTGCTTAATTAATCAAACAGGTATTTCTCAAGTGAGTATTACATTTCGGGCACTACATTAAGTGCTGGGCATAGAAGGAAAAGCAAAGAGAAGACACGAGACACTGAAGAAATACCATTCGAGATAGGCATGGGCATCAGGCAGTTCAGAAGCAATCTCTAACAAGGTCAGCAGAAAGTTGAAAGTAAGAAAACAAGATTTTGCCTGCGCTTCCCTGCAGCAACAGCTGTGGCTTCTTGCAAAGCAATTAAGCCTGTGGCTAGGATTCCAGTCCCATCTCATCTCAGCAGCCTCGCAGCCTTGGAACTTTCTTGATGGAGACTCTTAATCGATGGCATTTCTTTGTTTTTGCCCTGGCATCTCAGATGGTGGCATTCCCGAGGCTGATTAGCTCCAAGTTCCTTCCCTGTGAAGCCAAAGCCACCATGTAATTTCCATTAGACCTGAAAATGATCCTGATTTAAAGCTTAGATGGAGCCCATAAGCCATCATCTAATCATACTTAAAAAGTTACTGGCCTGGGCTGTATGTTCTTCATTTCTTTAGTAGTAAAATCATTCTTAAAAATATATCACTCTTTGTGAACCATCAAATCAGCCTGATGACAGCCTAGTTTAGAATTGAGTGCTGCAGTAAATGTCAGAACTCTGATGCTGACTTTCTGTGTGACTTTGGGTAAGCTACTTAACTTTCCTTCTTTTATTTCTTTCTCCTGTTCTTTCAGTACCTTTGATATGCCAGGCTTTAAAACTAGACTTGGAGGTAGGGAGGTAAAGGTAGGTGGGTGAGGAGGGGAAGAGCCTACGAAGATAAAGGAAACCTGACCCCTGCTCTGGAGAGAAGCACAGTTTGAGGAAATAGCCTTGAAAAGCAAATAATTAGCACCCCACCGGACAGCACTGCCACTGAGGAGTATGCCAAATGTCGTGGGAGCACACAGGAAAGAGACTCATTCCTTTCAGAAGATTGTGTAGGGGAATTTGACAATGCATCCCAGAGGTCCTTAACAATGAGCTGAATTGTAAGGAATTAAGAGGAATTTCCTGAGTGGAGAAGGGGGAAAGACACTCCTAGTTGTTTTATCCTCAAAAAAAGATAATAATTTTGAATCCTGCTTAGCTCTCAAAAATATTTTGAGAGCAGATACATAAAACACAACAAACTTGGTAGCCCAGCTCCATGACTATCAAAGCTCTCCAGCTCAATGGAAGAATGGTGCTACATTAGACTTATAACTTTTTTATTGTCGTTGTTTTTTTTTTAAGTTAGGGCCTCACTCTGTTGCCTGGGCTGGAGTGTAGTGGCACAATCGTGACTCACTGCAGCCTTGAACTTGGGCTCAAGGGATCCTTCTCACCTTAGCCTCCTGAGTGGCTGGGACTACAGGCATGTGCCACCATTCCTGGCTATTTTTTATTTTTATTTTTTGTAGAGATGGGGTCTTGCTGAGGCTGGTCTCGAACTCCTGGGTGTAAGTGATCCTCCTGCCTCAGCCTCCAAAACTGCTGGGATTACAGGAGTGAGCCACTTGCTCCTGGCCTTCTGATGCCTCCTTTGTCCTGCACCAGGGAATGCCTGTCAGTTTTCTTCCCTTGGCAAATGAGAGGAGAGGACCTGCTTATGGCCTGCTTCTTTATCCTCTCCTGGTTTGTGCTGATGCTGGGCTGATACAGCTGTGACAATGATGCCTCTCAGAGCTGCTGTGGAAGAGGATAGTGCAGCGTCTGAGGAGTGAGCGTCACCTTCCCAGGAGCAAGGCTTCAAATTTCCTTCTCCGACCCATTAGAGAGGGAGGTCTTTCTTACACAGCTTCTTAGGAGGAGCAAGAGCAAACTCAGCCACTCAGCTCTCCACATCTGTCCCAGTAAGGGTCCCCTACAACTCCCTTGTGTTCATAACCACCATGACTCTGGTTGCTTCTACATGGGTATAGCTCCCCTAAGGATGAAGGAATATGTGTAGTGACAAAAGAACATGCAGACATTTCTAAAGATGTCTAAAGCCTCGGGGTTATAGGGATTTAGTGTCTAATCAGTCAGTAATAAAGAGGACAAATATCAGGTGTGTCACCAAGTCCTGCCTCAGTGTTCCAAGTTATTATGCCAGACACTGGGGTTCCTATGGGAAGTCCTGGATGCAAAAAACAGGAACTGGCCATGTCGTTTCCCATGCCATGTGAAGTGTCTGGACCTCTGTTGCCTTGTCCAGGACAGTGTGGAGGGGAGGACTTAGCTTGTATGGTTCTTCAGAGCCCTGCCAGATCCTAGAGCCCTTGATGCTTGAGCCTCCCATTTATGGGAGACTCAAATCAGGAGAAGGCTACGTTTATTACAAGGGGATGGGGATCTGAAAAACTGATTTAATAGAATAGGAGTATAAGAAAGCATTATATGTATATATAAGAAAGGTGCTACATTTTAATACACCGTATTTGTGAGCACTAGCTTGTGTTTGTGAGTGCTTTAGTCATCTCCTTAGATAGTATTATCAATATTATCAACCTGATTGTATAAAAGTAGGAAAAAAGGTTCACAGGAAGATTAAATTTAATGTGTGTTACTGAGCATGGTATGACGCTAACATCCTCCTCCCTTCTTGCCAGTTACAAAAGTAAGCCTCAAACAGCATGTAGCTGTTTCAAGAATAAGCATCAGAGAAAATGCAGGAAGCAGTAAGGTTGGAAGAGACAGTTGGTTTATGAGGCAAGAAAGCCAGGTTTTAGACTTTTCCCCACTTTCTGTCTTTGTGCAAACTATCATTACTTTTAGTGCCTTAATTTCTGTTGTTCTAAAATTCGGGGTGGCTTAAAAGAACTACAAGAGTATAATTGGATTGTTTGTAACACAAAGGATAAACGCTGAGGGGATGGATACTCCATTCTCCGTGATGTGATTATTGTGCATGCCATGCCCATATTAAAACATCTCACGGACCTCATAATTATACATACCTACTATGTACCCAGAAAAATTAAAATTAAAAATATTTTACAAAACTAAATAAAATTAAAGGGGTCAATGTTTGCCTCATATTGATGCCTTAAGGGCAACTTCAGAATAATGACAGGTGTGCACTAAAGGCTTTCCGGAGACAAAGGTGCAAGGGGCTGGTCCATGCACACTGCCTGGCTGCGGTGGGGTCTTTGTGTTTGGCTGTGGTGATATGTTTCCCTGCAGGAGTCTGTGGTGTGTGTGGGTGCATGTGGGAACATTAAGGGCTCATTACTCATATAAAATCCTCAGTCTTTTATGTTGATGTTTTTAACGCCTGATGGGCAGCAACCTCCTTTTCTCTTGGCTGTTGCCCTGATTTCTGCTCCCTGAAGATCCCCAGGGCATAGGAATTGGGCTCAGCTCAGCTTTATTATTAATTAGGGAAGCCATTCTGAACTTCCTCCCTTCCTCCCTCTTTCCCTTCAATTCACCTATTATTGATTTATTTATTAAGCTCCTCCTCTGTGCTAGATACTGTTCTGAGCAGGTTGTTCCTGCTCCTTGGGAGCATACACTAACGTGGAGAAGGCAGAAAACAAGTAAATGAATGATATCATTTTAGATAATGGTTTAGTTGTGAAGAAGAAAATACATGGGATGATGTAAGAGAAAGTGACTGGCAGCAGCGACTACTCCACCTACAGATATTCAGACTCTGGAGGCCTGGGCTGGGGTTCAGGAATCCGCATTGTCAAACAGAAGAGCGTGGGATTCTGCTGCAGCTGGTCCCTGGATGACCCTTTCAGCATCCTTGCCCTAGGAAATGCTTTGAGTGTTTGGCCTTCAGTGTTGTGCTCTCCTTTGTGAGTGGTGGAAGTGGAGTCCGGTGTGTTTCAGGGTGAAGGTTAATTGCTCTGTGCGGATTCCCACCTGAAGCTCCCTTTTTCTGGCATCTTCCCTTAGTCCCAGCAGCTGTCTCCTGTGCAGGAATAGGCCTTGCCACCTGTTGGACATAGCCTCAAACTCAGAGGATTAATGTATTCTTATCTGAAAGGACACAAAGGGGAGGGGGGGAAGCAAAATTGTTAACATGGTTCTCCTTATCTTTCCTCTCCAAGATCCAGTTTTGATCCCCCCTTCCTGGATTCTCCCTCCACCCTCTCAAATCCGCTGTAAGCAGCTGCTAGCTTCCTTGCCCGATGGGCCTCCTGGCCAGCTGTCTGACGTCACACATCAATCTTCCGTCTTTACTGCAAATCTCTACTGATCAAATTTCACATTTCCAGGACTCTGTTCATAAAGCCCCTTTCTCTGGTATAATTAGTAATTAGAGGAAAAATGTTAGCCAACAGACACTCAATCCCCATCTGCCAAGTGAGGAAATTCCCATTCAAGTGGAGGGCTGACCATTCTACGTAGGTGATGGACCACTCACAATCTGCTTTTCTGAACTAAGTGATTCTAGAGGAACAAGAGAGGGAGCTATGTTTCTGAGTGTCCATTGAGCTGTACCCACGTTTCTTTGTATCTGTATAATTTAATTAATAATTTTAAAAATTATTAATTTCCTTCTTTCATCCTCTCTCCCACACTGCTTCTAATATTAAGTCAGTGGGAGCCTCATTAAAAGCAGTTCCTCTTACATAACCATTTCCCAGGCCATAACTGGTATCCTCATGATTCCCTTCAGAAAGGGCTGGTAACATCTGCCAGCTGGTTACTGACGGTCATAATTGTGCAAATGGGAGACAGGAATTGTCCCAAGTGAGGCCTATGTGATACTTGCAGATTTGCCTAAGTGGGGACATTTAGCTGGGGGCAGTCTTTGCTCATTAATTGTTTTTGTCATTTACAAAAGTGAAAATTTTTGTGAAATATTTTCAAATGCATGCTTTGCTGACCTGGGGTTTTAGTTACTATTTAGCTAAACATGAGCCAGTATTATAATTTGGATACCCCAAACAGACAAACATACAAATAAGACTCCCCAAACCTAATGTGTTTCTAGAGAGAGGCAATTATTTACTGTTCTTAGTGTTAGTTAAACCACATCAGGCTGGCTGGATTACTTCTGAGACCTAAAATTACTGAGGACATAGAATCTATTCTATGTGTCAGAGGCCAATCATCAAGAAGGTAGAAGAATTTCAGACTTTGTCATTTGAGGAATGATTGTAGATTGTAGTTGAAGATTCAGAGAAGAGAGGCCACAGAAATATTTCAAATATTTAAATGGGTTGCATGCCATAAGGGCTGGGAATCATTCCACAGTGCCCAGGGGTCAACTTGGGATGATAATTATAGGGAATGGGGTTTTAGCTTAAAGTACTGGGCACTAGAGTCCAAAGTTTTGGGATCAAATTCTGCTTCTGCCACTTGTTAGCTATGTGATGGTGTGCAAATTTCTTCACCTCCCTATACCTCAGTTTTTTCATCTATAAAGTAAGAGTAATAGCTGTTCCTATAAGGTTATGAGAATTAAATGAGTTAATACACATAAAGTATTGCATCAGGGTCTGACACACAGTAAGCATTGGCTATTTATACGACTACAAGAACATGTGACATGGTCACCTGCCCAGAAAGCTCAACATATTTCAAAATGTTTTCCACAAAACATGACTCCCTGAAGCTAATATATTAACAGATGAGAAAAGGGTTCTGAGATCAAACTGGGTAACCCCTAGCTTTGAGATCCGTAATATGCAGGACGGTAAAGAAAAGCAAGTTACTTCTGTTTAACCAAATGTTTCTGATTTATTTCACTATGGAATCTGCCTTTAGTGGAGAAATACATTGTGAAATAGAAAACACATTTGAGAAAAAGCAAAATGATGGAATTGCCTAATCAGTTGTGCTGGTGGGAGGGCGAATACATTTTGATGGGTTGATTAGGTTTGATTTCTGGAAAAGACTTCTGCTCTGATGGTGTTAAGTGTCTGAAAGTAGTGAATAATGTCACATTTTAACACCACCACTACACATAGCCTCCCAAAATCTCTGTCTTGAAACAGAGGTTTGCAAGTGAGTGATGGGAAGAAAACAGAATATTTCATTCATTTAACATCCATGAGAAAGCATTTTCTTATGCCAGGCCTTGAGCTAAATGCTGGAGATGTGAAGATGACTGGGACACTGCCCCTCCCCTCAGATGTCATGGTGTGGAAGCATGAACAGATTTGTAACCCAGTGTGATCATTGCTTTAGTGGAAATGGAAAAGGCCTAAGAGGACAGTCAGGAGGGAAAACTAATTCTGATTGAAGGAGAGACGTGTTTAAAACAAGCTTCCTCACCAGCAGCCAGGCTGTGTGCATGAACCTTCCCTGTGTGGTGAAGAAGGAGCTCATGTTATAGGTGATGGTGTGGGCCCTGGGAGGGTAATCTTTAGAAAACAGAGGACCAGGGAGAGGGCCCTGGGGGATAGGAACCAGCACAAGGGCAGAATAAATTCATGTTCAAAGGCAAGAACACATCAAAGTGATGCCACATTCAGAGATTACTGGGCTAGGGGTGCAATTACTGGGCTAGGGGTGCAATAACCAAGAGGCCCTGAGGTTTCCTATTCAGTTCTATTGTTTAAGAAATCACTTTAATAAATGACATCCTTTTCTGAACTCTTTGAATCTTGGCTTCATTTGTAACATGGAGTGGGGGTGGTGGAGTAGGTTTCTAAGACCACCTCCTTCTCTAATATTCCCCAATTTCACACCAGTTTTTAAACTTGATCTACAATGCTCTATGTTCTTGTCACAGCCTGATACCTGCCAGCCCATCCGGTGTGAAATTTAAAAACTCATCTTAAATCAACCATCTTTAATTCCCTAATTATTAGTTTGGCATTCTCCTGACCTCTTTTTTATTTTTCTTTCTCATTTCTTACTTTTGAAGGGGAAGATTTGAACTCAGAATTCCAAGTGTGGCCTCCCCTAGGGGTGCAGAGATCATCCATCTTCCATTCACTGGCAGGATGATTCTGTCTCCAGCTAATTCTGTTGCCATAAAACACTGCAAACTCATGTGTTTCTGGTTATTTGCTCCCAAATACATTACTTTGCATTTTTCCAAGTTGAATTCTATTTCATTCTTTCCCACCCACATTTCTATAATCTCTTAATATCATTCATGTGTTTACTGCATGCCCACACTGGGGTCTGCTTCTTCTAGCTTGGTATAATCTACATGTCCCATTAATATTTTTTAAAGAACACTGGGTCTAGTATGTTCCTTCATGTCTCCTTACCTATTACCTTATAGACCAATGCTGGGCCTCAGTGATGGTACTTAGATTCTGAGTTGCCCTTGCCTCTTGGTCAGAAATATCACATTGCAAATGCATTTAAATATTCCAAATGTTGCTTCTTTAATAATTTCTTAGTTCTTATGGATACTAGCCTATTGTTTCTGGATGCTATGATTAAAGTAATATTATTTAACATCCCCATTTTAAAGGTGAAGAAACAGGCCTCAAGAAGTTATGTGCAATTGGCAGGGCAGGGTATGGGACTAACCAGCACCCAAGGTCCTGGCCTTCCAGATCATGAGTGGAGAGGTTACACAGAGAGCTGTGTTAACCTGCAGATGGTATGGAAAAGACAAGGAATGGGGAATGAATGAAAAGGGAATAATAATATAAATTTCCTTGCTTTGATAAAGCTGCACAACTGCAGTACCAGTTGAATTTTCTAACCTTGAGAGTCTCATCCTGATGGAAATGCATCCACAGTGCACATGCCTAGTTCTATCCCTTTTCTTGAGCCTCTAAGAGGCCTACAGGAGTGTGGGGATTATCCATCTTCAACAGTTAAAGAGTTCTTTTTTTAACGAAGAATAATGTTCAGAATCACTTTCCTCCTTTCCCGGCTTGGTCTAATAGTATTTATTTTTAGCCCAATTCCTGGGATTTTTGTCCATTCCTCGCTAGTCTTCAGAAAGGCTGTAAGTGGTTTCTTTCATATGTGTTCTATTTATGCTCAAGATTGTAGGTATTTTTTTTTGGTTAAACTTTATGCATTCAGGATTTCCAAATATCTGCTAACCTGATTTACAGTTTATCCTACTTTGTACCATCGATACCACTTTACCACTCATTTGCCAGAATTGAGAAAGAGGTCTAGGGGTATAGTTCATTATCTTCTGTGACCTGGTTATTACTCTCTGACTTATTTAGAAGAATGGCTCTCTTCCAGTGTCTCCTGCATCATGGCAATCATAAACAAAAAATCTTTCTTCTTTTAAGATTGTTATGCTAGCATTAAGTCATTCTGTTTTTTTTCTGCCAGGTTTTTCCTCCAAGTCTTGACTGAGACTGAGTCTACATGACACCAAAACACCCAAACGAAAAAGAAAAATTCACTTGAACCACTTAGATGTTTCTTCACCAAATCCAGATGTTTGGCAGTGCAGATAATACTTCTGGATAATGAGTGACTCCCCCTACAATCAACACTTTCATCACACTGCTTTAATTAAAAAAATAGTTCCCATAGTCTGACTGTGTGCAGTCTATAAGAATGGTAGAGTCTTGTAGATTCAACCCTTGCATTAAAAGAACCTTTGAGTCATGAGTTTGACCAAAGTTGAGGTGAAGATGCTTGTCCTGGGTGGATGCTTCATTGTTACCATGAAGAATTGTGGGTCAGGAAGTGAGCATTTATCCCAGCATAAATAAATCCAGATGCAAAACATTCAAAGGGGAAAGAATTAGAAACCTGACTCCTCCTTGGCAGAAGAGCTGTGGCAAATATTTTAAAATATCCACACTATCTAATTCTTTCAGTCTGCATAATTTGCCTAACATGTCCCCTAATATAATTAAATGAAAAACACATATTTTGCATTTAGGAACTAATTGTCATTCTGAAAGATTCAAAACACTAACCATATAGTACCTTTCGCATATTCTCAATATTCTAGAGTGAAGAGTTTTACTTTTTTATCAAATGACCAGATAACCAGAGGCTTAGTTTCACATAAAATGTAGAAAACATTAGAAGAGTAGACCTGAGTCTAGGATCATAGATTTGAAGAACCTCTAAGGTCCTTTAAAGAAAATCCCCATCCAATGCCTCAGCCTGCTCCCCATCTGGTACATTTGTTGAGTGGTTATCCAGGCAGTTCTGGAAGTTCCAGAGATAGAGATGGCTTTTTTTTTTTTTTTTTAATTTACCTAAGGATTCACTTTTCTGTATCTGCCATTTGCTGAACCCTGAAATCTTCTGTCGCTCACAGAACAAGTCACGTTGTCTTTTCACATTGGTAAAAAGTATTGGTATTGATGTTTTTAAAAATTTGTCACATAGTTTACCCCTTACAGTCCACTTCTCTTGAAATTTCAGGCAAGACTTCTCTCTTCCAGACACCTCTGTCCCCAAATGTGTTCCATTTTGCTCATGTTTCTCTTAAAGCCCTAAATACAAAGAGGGTTGTGCCTTCTCTGGGCTCACCTCCCCTGAGCTTCTGATTCTGCCTGGATGCTAGCAGCGAAATATCAAGGCAGGAGGGGCACTCGGGGGCCAGATTGAGACGCTTTCCACCCTGGTCTTTGCTTCATCGGTATGTTCATCATCCTTACCTCAAATGCCCACTTCTCTGATGAAACTTGAGTAAGGCCTCCTTCCAACACACTTCACTGCTCCTCACAGCCACAGCCACTACCACTCACCTTCTCCTGGCAGGGCTCCAGGACGGGTGGGGGTTCTGGAACTTTTACATAACACTAAGTAGGTTAGAGACTCGGACAGGTACCCAGGACAACCTAACGATGGAAAGTTTAATTTGGCATGCAGTTAAGCACGAGCAGTGATTCCAGGAGTTCAGGATAGAGTTGAGAACAAAAAATGTATATGTTCCTTCTTTGTGTGGGGGATTGCCCCTTCTCATCTGAGCTACCTCGAGGCCACCACACACCTGCAGTCTCTTTACAGATCTGGCAGCCATCCTTGAAGCTCAGTCGTGACTCCCCAGGCAAGAACAATCCATTTGCCTCCCACCCTTTAGCCTTCTTCCAGATACACTGTAACATTGAGTGGTCCGGAATTTAATCGTCTTTGAATTGTGCTTTGTACCCCTTGCACCTTGGATTTATAAAAAGTGTAAAATTTCTGCCTTAGACTGTGACTATAAAAATCTTTAACCTAATTTTGCAGCTGAGCCAATTTCAAATTAAATGGCTTAATATCAGAAACATCAACATCTGGAAGAGACTCTAACAGATTTTGTGATAAATCAGCAGCTGCTGTGGGTTAAAGGTTATGCTAATTCCAGATTCTCGACCTGGAAAACACTGAGGCAATAAATAAAGTTAACACACAGACTCCGGGAATGCCACAAGGGGCTCAATGGGCGGGAACGTGGAGGTGAGCAGGACAGTCTCATGTGGGTGAAGTGGGCAACCTCCGTGGAGTTGGATTAGCTTGAATGAGTGGGTGGGGTGCAAACTGAAGGTAAATGGGCAGCCTCTGTTCTTGGCCTGTATCACCTCATAGCAGAACCAAGCACGTCATTGCATCCCTCAAACAGATCTAACAGGTAATATTGATAAGAATTTGATAGGAGGTGGTGGGGAAGAGCACTTATTTCACTGAAACAATTAGTTCCTAAAGCTTTGTATCCTGTTTAAATATCTCCGCTAATTCCCATGAGCTCCTCTCTGGGTCCTTGCCACTTCATCTTTCCTCCCTCTCCAGCTCTCCTCAGGGCCAGCCTTTAGGTCTTCATTTCTTCCCTGGCTCCCATGCTCTGCTGAGGCTCTGGCTCCAACCCAGATCATCCCAGAATTTCTCTCTACCCTTTTTCTTATGCAGAGCATTGTTGCACCCTCTCAGCCTCTAATCAGTAGTTCAAAACCCATGACTCCACTCAGCAAGCAAAGGACTCTTCTTAGCATCCACTTGTCTTAGATAGGTGGGATGGAAGTGGGGATGAGGTTGTCACAATTTTTCCCCGGTACTTAGGTAATTTATATAGGACTGCATCTAGCACATAGTATATATACCAAACTTCCAGTATGACTATTAAGTAGTGTTGCAATAGACTAAATGTTTATATCTCCTCCAAATTCACATGTTAAAATTATAACATCCCCTCACTAACCAGGTGATGCTATGAGGAGGTAGGGCCTTTAGGAGGTGATTAGGTAATAACGGTGGAGCTCTCACAAATGGGATTAGTTCTTTCATAGACCAGATTGCTCTCCAGCCCCTTCTACCATGTGAGGTTACAGTGAGAAGGCAGCCATCTATGAGAAATGGGCTTTCACAAGACATTGAATCTGCTGACACTTCGATCTTGGACTTCCCAGCCTCCAGAACAGTGAGAAATAAATTTTTATTGTTTATAAGTGACCCAGTCTGTGGCATTTTGTTATAGTGACCAAAACTGACTAGGACAAATGTTATTTTGGAGAAGAAGAAGAAGAAAAAAGCTTCAATATCCATCTGTTACAAAATATTTTCTTTGAACTTGAAATTTAATCAATTAACACCGTGTTGATTTTTAGTTTTAAGGACTTCAGCGGTTCCCAAACTTTGGCATGGAAAAGAATACCTAGTGAGGCCCTCACAAAGATTCCTGCATCATTATTATAATTCTGTAGCTCTGGGTGGAGACCCAGAAATCTGTATATTAAGCTCTGCAGGTGATTTGAATATAGGCGATTTATGGACCACTTTTGAGACATACTGTCTCTCAGGACTTCCAATTTCTTCCCATTATCAACACATTCTTTCCTCTTTCCCCGCTGTCAGATAAATTTTCTTGAAGCCCAATTTTGGTGATTTTCATTTCCCCAGTCCTGTGTGCTCTATCTTCTCACTCCACTTTACCATTGCCACTCTAACCTCTCTCATGTCTCCTTTGAATGATCCCAAATCACCTCCTACTTATTTTCCCTGCTTCTACCCTTGCGTGCCTACAGTGAATACTTAAAACAGTAGCCAGAGGCATTCTTTAGTAATACAATCTAGATATTTTTGCTGTGTTCAAAATCCCCCAATGGCTTCCCATGTCATTCAGAGTGTAAGTCCTTACAACTGCCTGCAAGGCCCCTGCGGCCTGGCCCCAGAAATCTCTCTGGCCTCATTTCTTAGTATTCTTTCTCACTCACTCTACTTCAGCCTTAAAGGTCTTGCTAGAGCTTTTGTACTTTCTGTTCTCTTATTCTCCTTGAGCTGGGGAAGTGGGATTTGCTAACAAGAAGGAGATCCTTGGGTGTGGAGGAGCATTGTGTGAGTGTTTGAAAGAGCTGTGGTGGGAAAGCTCATGTCTAGCCAAGGGCTCCCCTCCGACACCTACATGACACTGGTGTCTTTGGCTATTTCTCCACTGTTCCTACTAGACTGTGAGCTTTCTAAGAATGATGTGTGCACCTGGTTCATCTGTGTACCATTACCCCCCTTCCCCAGTTCATGCACAACCTAAGAGCTATAATAACTTTATTGTTATATAAAACACTGCCCCATTCTGCCCACCCTTGGTAGATGCAGATTCTGTCCACATGTGGGACAGTTATCTTTGTCTTGTCCTCTGGACATCACCTGGTTTCATGCCATAGGGACCACGAGGCACCAGGAATCAGAGTGAAAGAGAGTTACTGGATTACCACAAACCCATTCCTCCTAAAAAAGAGGAAATGCAGATGGTTTTGGCATATTCTGCTGTTCTCTGGCTCTTGGCAACCTTTATTCCTGGCTGACACTGAGTAGCAGCTCTAAAAATGTTTGTTGGGCTGAAATTGTAAGGAGCAGGAGAAAACCACTGATCTCTACAGCAGTTCCTTATCATTAGATTTCAATCTGGCCCAGGGACTCAGCTGTGGTGTTTTTCACATTTTTATGTTGTGTTACTAAGGACAATGTTTTCTGCATCATGTAGGTGACTTCACAAAATAACGTTTTCTTTGGGTACGGGGAAGGAGGTGCTCCCCTTGAGCACTTGATTTGTTCTTATCTTACGGACACTGTTATTCTAATAATCACAGTGTTTATGAGATAAGGTATAGACAATAATATAATTCTTTTCTTTCCCTATTTTATTTTTGGTTTCTAAGAATCTTGGAGTGAGATCTGCAGTCTACCTGCAGCAAATATACAGGATCCTGTGGCCTTCATGTTTTACATCAATCATTCCTATATTAATCATTAATCACCTTAGTGTTCTACACTTATTTTTATTTTCCATTAATTTTCTCACTTACCTCCCTTTGTACTACATGTCTTTTTTGTAACTTTTACAAAATTCTTTCAAAATAAGACACAGTTTAAGTAATAATCCTTCGCTATAACAGGTGTTCTCACTATGCACATCATGACACCAGCCACTATCTGCAGAGAATCCAGAAAATTCACTGGCCCAGAGACTTAGGATTTCTCTTATGGAGGGAACAAAGAAAAAAAAGACCAAAGCACTTCTTCAGACTGTAGCTAACAAGTGGTACTAATGCTCAGAAGCCCACCCAGAAGCGAGAAATGTGGATAGACTTCCCAGGGATGCAACTATTTAAAGCAAAAATAGTAATCAGTAAGACAAGCCCCACCCCTGCCTGGGTATTTTCATTTTGCAGATGTAGCTAGATGCTCAGATGGTCCCCAACTGGCACAGCTGTGCGCAGCTGGGGACTTTAGTACCACATAAGCCAGCAGCTGGGGGAGAGATGCACTGTGGCTGGACTATCTCTGTTAAAAAATGCCATCAGCTTTAAACACCTCTTTGGTAGAGGGAGGTCTCCAGACACCTGGGCTCATTCATTCATTTATTGGCTTCCCACATGAGTCAGGCACTGGGATAGAAAAGTCTAAGAAATACAAACATGGGTAAGGCACAGAGTTTAAGGAAAGGTAAGTGAAATAAACCTGTTATATACACAGCCTGAATATAAGTGAAGTGTTAAGTGCTGAGAAAAAGTATAGGTAAGCTGCCATGGAAGTTGAGAAGAGGAATGGGTCCCCTTTAGCTAAAAGATCAGAGAAACTTTCAAAGAATTTAAACCACATTCTGAAGTGGGCAAAATTTCGATATTGCAGGGAGATGGAGTGGTAAAAGCAAATATATGGAAGTGTTTAAGTGCAGAGTATGTTTGGAGAATGCTAATTAGGTCAGGCTGGCTCACGGAGAGTTGGGTGAAAGTAAGAGATGGTGGGAGATGAAGCTGGATGCAATTAGTGGAATTGTGCTTTCTGAGAACTAACCCTATTGCAATGGTTAGACACTGGAGAGAAAATTCTAACAAGGAAACTCTCATGTTATTCTAAGCAAGAGATAACACTAGGAAAAAATGCTGGAGATATTTCTGAAATAGTATAGACAAAGATGCAGTCAAAAGAACAGACATTTCCTGTTTCTGCTTTCTGCACCTTCTCTCTGTCTCTTCCTCCCCCAGACACCTTTCACTCAAACTTGCAAAAAATTCCTGTTGCTTAGTTGTACTCACGTTGTCAAGGTTTCTTCCATAGAGGGTGGCAATTCACTGGAAAATCAAGGCAATTAGGCAAAGAACATGCTGGGAAAAGAAAATCTGAAGAATTCAGATCAGTTTCATCACTCTTTAATTTAATTAGTCACTTAATTACTTCAGCTATTTACTTCTCTGTAGACAGAGGCTGAGTGCCTGAAAGCAGACCCTCCACCATTCCTGACCCAAATGTAACACACGGCACTGAGACAAATGTGGCTTTGGGTCTTTCCATAAAAGGTCCGCTACTGTTGAACTTGGGATGGGTCTGATTCCTTTTCCTTCCAAGAGTTAATAGCTAAATTTACTCTAGATTCCTCTATTTATTGCATCACTGTTCTGCATGACCAGGGAGTCTTGGGGTATAATTGGAACTTCATATCTTCAGAAAACCAGCTTACATCTCTGAGTGGTATCCCAAATCACCTCTTATTTCCTCATTATTCCCATCCAAGTACTAACCAGGCCCAACCCTACTTAGTTTCTGAGATGAGATGATATTGAGCGCTTTCAGGGTGTTATGACTGTAGGCTTATTTCCTCATTACTAAGGCCATTCCAGATTCCTAAGCTTTACCTGGTCCCGCCCATAGCTTCATTTCCTACTATGCCTCCACCCTATTTCCCAGTCATCCAGAATAACTTGCAGTTCCCCAAGCATACACTGTCTGCTATGTCAAGGCATTTACACATGTTATTCCTCAATGCCTGGAAAGCACTTTCCTGCCCTTCCTAACTTGCTGAATCCTCCTTGCCCTGTACGTTCAGCTCACCCATTACTTCCTTGACTTCCTACCTCAGTTAGATGCCTGTTCCAAGTCACCTGGGTTTATCTCTGTCAGAACTCCATTCGTTCATTCCTTAAATTGATATTATTGAATAATTAACCGTACACCAGGTACTATTCTGGGTTCTGCATACATCAGAGGTAACGAGACAGACAAAGACTCTGCCAGGTAAATGTGTATGGGTAGCACAACCTATTAAAAAGTGGGGATGACTGCTGAAAGAAATCAGATATGACACAAACAAGTGGAAAAACATTCTGTGCTAATGGATAGGAAGAATCAATAGTGTTAAAATGGCCATACTACCCAAAGTGATTTCCACATTCAGTATTATTCCTATCAAACTACCAACAATATATTTCACAGAATTAGAAAAATATATTCTAAAATTCATATGGAATCAAAAAAGAGCCTGAATGGCCAAAGCAATACATGCAAAAAGATCAAAGCCAAAGGCATCACACTACCCAACTTCAAGCTATAATATGAGGCTACGGTAACAAAAACAGCATGGTACTAGTACAGAAACAAACACATAGACCAATGTAACAGGTTAGAGAAGTCAGAAATGAAGCTGCACACCCACAACCATCTCATTTTTTGACGAAGTCAACAATAACAAGCAATAGGGAAAGGACCCCCTATTCAATCAGTGGTTCTGGGATAACTACCTAACCATATGCAGATGATTGAAACTGGACCCCTTCCTTTCACCATATACAAAAATCAACTCAGAATGGATAAAGCCTAAGACTATAAAAACTCTAGAAGAAAACCTAGGAAATATCATTCCAGACATAGGCCATAGCAAAGTTTCATGACCAAGACTCCAAAAGCAATTGCAACAAAAACAAAAATGGACGGCAATCCCATTTATACCCAAAGAAATAAAAATTGTTTTGCCATAAAGACACATGCACATGTATATTCTTCGCGGCACTGTTCACGATAGCAAAGACATAGAATCAACCTAGATGCCCATCGACTGAATAAATAAAATGTGGTACATATACATAACAGAATACTATACACCCATAAAACATAATGAAATCATGTCCTTTGCAGCAATTTGGATACAGCTGGAGCCATTATCATAAACCAATTAACACAGGAACAAAAAACCAAATACAGCATGCTGCCATTTGTAAATGGGAGCAAAACACTGGGTACATATGGACACTAAGAAGGGAACAATAGACACCAGCACTTACTTGAGGGTGGAGAATGGGAAGAGAGTGAGGATAAAAAAACTACCTATTGGGTGCTATGCTTACTACTTGTATGACAAAATAATGTGTGCTACCAAACCCCTGCAACACAAAATCTATCCATGTAACAAACCTGCACATGTACTCCCTCAACCTAAAATAAAAACTGGAAAAATATAAAGAATAGAATAACAATTACATAAAATGAAAAACAAATTTTTTGAGCAAAGACTATACAAAGTCAGACTGGAAAATATATTTGTGATATCTGTGACATAATACTTTTATGCTTAACTTTTAAAATATGTCAACAACCACACGAGCATCTGTTATTTTTTGACTTTTTAATAACAGCCATTCTGTCTTGTGTGAAATGGTATCTCATTGTGATTTTGATTTGAATTTCTCAATAATAAAGAACCTAATTTTAAAATGTAAAGAAAACAAACAAACCAAAAAATGGTGATAAGATCCAAGATGGGGCAAAACAGTGAGCTGAACTTGAACTGCTGGCTTTCTTTTCTAATTTCCCTGTTGTGCTGTGAGTTCTCTGAGGTCAGGAAACTAGTCTAGTGTCTCTTACTAATCAGGTGCTTAATAAGTTTTGAAAGAATAGGTGGAAGTTGACTACTAATGGGGAAGACTCAGGTCATTTCGGGACTCATCTGGTCTCAGAATTCCAGTGAGGTGAGTAGTTGTTTGACTCCTAGTTATCATCGGATTGCAGTCGCTGAGGCTTGAAAGGGACCTTAAAAAGAATGTGACTATATATCCTGGTTTACCTGGCACAATCCCAGTTGACATCTGTTGTTCTGGCATCCTGTCAGGTTTAGCATTTATTCCAGATTTGTTTTCTTTCAATGACATATTTTAATTTTATTAAAGTAGGCTAAGGTGGGTTTGGTAGACCTCTACTTTTTTTTTTTTTTTCGAGGCAGAGTCTTGCTCCATCACCCGGGCTGGAGTGCAGTGGCGCGATCTCGGCTCACTGCAACCTCTGCCTCCTGGCTTCAAGTGATTCTCCTGCCTCAGCCTTTGGAGCAGCTAGGACTACAGGAGTGAGCCCCACGCCCAGCTAATTTTTGTATTTTTAGTAGAATGGGGTTTCACCATATTGGCCAGGCTGGTCTCAAACTTCTGACCTCGTGATCCCCCCCACCTCGGCCTCCCAAAGTGCTGAGATTACAGGTGTGAACCACCACCCCCAGCCTTCCCACATTCTACCACAGTTAGTCTCATTTACTAGTACATGAGAAGCTTGATTAATAAACAGAATTCTCACTTTAACATATGATAAAATTGGAAGGATACTAGCAATAATCTGTTTCTCTTTTCCTAACCCTTCTTGGTGCAATGTAACAAAATCACCTTTCCCAGGACAGCATTCAAGCTGCTTATTGATAAGTCACAGAGCTCTTGGATATGAGTGGCTCATGTGGCCAAGGTCACCTTTGGTCTGGTGGTGGGGGAAGAAGTTTTCATTGCCACTGGTGCTGCTAGTTACTTTGTGTACCAGCTAGTTATGCCATGGACTATACCATGACTTAAGAGATGCTCAAAGCTACTAGACAATGAAAGAGAGTCATTTACAGTAAGTGGAAACATGGAAAATCGTTGGTTAGGTGTCCCTGCAATAACTGCACAAAATATAACCTAATAGCTTTGTCAGAGAGTACAGGGAGAACAATCTGAAGTTTCTTTGTTATAGTGATTTTGTCATTTATTTGTGTGGTATAAGTCTCCAACTATGTTATTGTTCCGCAAGACTTTTTTTTTTTTTTTTTTTTGCAGTAAACCTTTTGAGAAGCAGAAAGTTAAAAATGGGAGTGTAAGTTTAATGAAATATTAAGAAGTAAATTTGTATCTCAAGAAAGATGATGACGAATGTGGAAATTGCAAAAAAAAAAAGTTTGTAAACAGTTACTGTCCACTGTGGGGAATGGCAACCAAATAAAACCAGAAAACTCCAATCTGCTTAAGAAACATCAGCATCTCCCTCAAAAGTTTGTTGTTATTTTAAGAAGACTGTGGCCTTATGATTTAATAAGTTAAGTTTTGCAGAGTACAATTATATAGTACTCTGTGAAGCATGAACTTTAACTTAGATTAAATGATATATTTTCTAAATGAATGTCACTCATGTTTGTTTCTGAATCTTCTTGTGCAAAAAGATTCAATCATTTTTTGCAATCTATATGTGCCAAAAATAAACCATAGCATATTAGATATGATTAGATGTGTTTTGTAATGTGGCTATCTCTCTGGAGTGAAAAAGTGTCAACTCTGCCATTTTCTTCTTGTTTCCTTATGCTTGCATTAAGGGAACTATCTTCAAACCCAAGTTTCCTTGGAGGAGTCATTTTTTTTTTTAAGGCTACTTGTCCACCTTAGGAGAATTGGTTGAGATCAATGCAGATATTGTAATTTGTGTATGCAACTAAACCAAGTCCAAGTAAACTACAGTCAGCTGACAGTATAGTGAGGGTATATATCACTTCACTCAGGTGTGTGTGGGGGATTAGCATTCTTTCCTTATAGCTTCTTGCATATTAAGTTTGACTACCAGACATTCAGATTGAGCAAGGATACTGATACAAACAGTATTTTAACTATGAGTGGATATTTTAAAGATAAATAATAAATATAATAACTTTACCATAAATAGTAAATATAATGATACATTTTAATACTTTTTAGTAATGTTTCACTTTGAAGACCTCTACCATAGACAATTCTTATCTTCCTGGTTTTGAGACCCAATTTCACCACAAGTCTTCCTGGTTTTGAGACCCAATTTCACCACAAGTAAGAGCGTAACCTTAGGTAAATTGATTAACTCCTTTGTCACTATGTCCTTTATCTGTAAAGTGGGTATAATAATAGGCATCTAACTTATAAAACTTTTATGAGGATTTAATGAGTTAATATATGTAAAGCAGTTAGAATTGTCCTTAGAACCTAGTAAACAGTCAGGTTTGCATTTGTTGTTTTCATCACTATTGTTATTATAGTGATTATTATTATTTTGCATAAATTTACTGAAATATTTGTGCCAAGTCCTGTGAATAACTAGATAATGATTAAGATAGTATAAATAACAGAAGGGTTCACCAAGAAATGATGACAATATCCTCTGGTTCTTGGGGAGGACCAGCCATATTTTCACTCTTCATGGTCTGTGTATGCCTGAACCAAACAGGAAAAGCTCTGGGCCCTGAGAGGGCTACAGAACTAGGTACTATCCCGGGCTTAGCCATCAACTAACCTAAACTTGCTCATAGAATACAATGGGGATAATAGTGCCTACTTTGCAAGATGATTAAGAGGGAATTGCATCGGATCTTGGGTGTAAAGAGGCTAAAACTGCCTAGGAAATTTAGGTGCAAAGACATTTAAAACAAGTCTGAACCCATGAAGCTTATTTGTTTTCTACCCTAGACAAAACGAGTTTGGTCATTCCTAACACGGCCAGGTTCTTTGGCAGGAATAGCTTGAGAGAGCAGTAAGGCTAGAGGTATAGCTCTTGACGGACTCATGGTGGAGGCTATTCAACGCAGATTTCTCAAGTCGTCATAGCACCATGGGTTAAAGGAAGAAAAATATTGATGTTTGATTGAATTACTTCTATAGGTCAGATCATGTATCACTGCTGTGACCTAAACAATGAGCCGGTGCAGGAGGAATGCACAGCTGAGACTGATGAGATAAACCTTCCACAGCCCTGACTCCTCCAAGACCCAGTAAATTGCTTCCCTTATTTAATTACAAATTAATTGAAAACACTCCCGTGCTGATAAAACAATACTAGTCCCTGATTTGTTGATAATAGCCTAATCCTCCTGTAATAGTCCCATAGACACCATCACATGATTATGTCATCAATTTTACACTTGCAGGGGCTGGATAAACATGGCTGCCTGAGGTTCAGGAAAAGGATAAACACACAGAGAGGTGTACTTTAGAAAGGATAATTTAAAGGTAAGTTTGGCATCAGATGGTGCTGGATTGATTCCTGGTTCTGCCAGTCACTAGCTAGGAGGCATTTTGGAGCCCTTGGAGCACTTGAAGATTAATAAATACATGAAACAGACTAGCACTGTGCTTGTCACATAGTGTGGAATTCATTATTGATAGCTGCATTATTTTTTCTCTCCCCTTGTTTGCAGTTAGGGGTACTCATGCTTTTCTTTCAGTTAAGAAGATAACCTTAGTTCCAGGGCTGTCAGTAATTATATTGATACACTTTCCAGCATCCAGAGCCCCTTCTTCATCTGGTTGTCTGTACCCACCAGGGCAATTTCCAACCCATGGTTGCTCCTTTTTTCCTACTACAAAGCTTGCTCATGCTTGATCCCAAGACTTTCTAAAGTAGGAAAGGGTCCCATTGAATGTGGTGGACACTGACATTACTGTCTCCCCAACACCGCTCATGCCTGGTTAAGGCAACTAAGGAAATATTTTTGCAAGTAAGAACAGGAACACATAATAGCAAATGAAGTAGCATTTTAAAGCATAGGACTCACTTTAAAGGGGCAAGTAAGAAAGAGTTAATGTTAGCACTCAAAGGATTTTGAAGTCTAGGCCCTTTACTTGGTCAGGGTACACAGTCCCCATTAAAATAAGAGTCTTTTCTCTCCATGACGATTGTCAGAATAACAAAATTTTACTTATAGGAAGGGTAACTTACTTTCATGCTCTTTTAGATAGAGCAGAAACTGAGATGCTGTACCTTTATTTCTGTGATTGAAATTTTGAAAATAGAGCAGAAGAAAACTACACACTGGATTTACCTATATTAATGGAGAGGATGGATGGTCTTCTCATAGTTTTCATCTTAAAGAAGAAAAAAGGGAAAAGTGTATGACATGTCCACCAAGCAGAGAGGTACATTTCTATGAGTTATGTCTGAGAAACACTAAAGATTCATAGTCAGAGGGTTCTTAGCCCACTTTCTACTCTCTTACCAGTTCTCACCCCAAAGCTCCAGAAGAAGGCCCAAGAGAGAAAGATAGGCATGGAATGCAATCTTTATTAAGTGTTTGTGCTGTTTTTGAAACTGTCTAGAAGAAACTGTCCTCTGTTCAATAGATATGGTGAGGGAGCAGTCAAGGGTGGGAAGATAATCAATATTTAAATAAATCCTTGGTCAAATTAAAAAACACATTATGGCAGAAGTCAAAGGATTTACAGAAAATATATATACATGGGCGCAGGGAGATAATTTGCCCCCTCCTTCTCTACAGCCTCTGGCTTACACTTTTTCACTGTGCTTTTCTCGTGGCATCTCTGGGTTTGCTCTGGGCCATAAGGCTTTGAGGGCTGGTGTGGGTCTTTATCATCTTCTTCATCTTTGAATCTGAATATCTGACACATAGCAGAAAATCAGTAAATATTTGCTCTATGCAAGAGTTAGAAAAGAGAAAAAAATCATGGAAGAAGAAACTAGAGAACCAAAAAGTCATTCAAATTTAATCAGAAAGTAAAATATGACTTTGCATGTACTGTAAACAAAGATATAATGTTTTTGGATTTGAAAGTTGATAAGTCAGCATCACCTCACACAACTATTTAAGCTACATGTAGACATCACTAGACTCAAAGTCACAACAACTTGAAGCATAATGCAAACAACGGTTCACCGAGGTGAAGATAAAGTAAACTTCTCAAATTCAAAGCATGTTTAGACCAGGCCTATCTCCATCACCCTAAGTGACTAATTTGCCATTTATTGAGTCAGATCATCTAATTGGTAGAGCCAAGTTAAAATATTGATGGCAGAATTCAGCAGTCCAGATGTCTTGCTAGATCTCATCTTGCTAAAATCAGAAAAAGCATCAGATAAATTTCTGATTTGCCTTGCTAATAATTTCAGATCCCCTATTGTATAGAAATCATTGAAGGGACTTAGCCTAAAGTATCATTCTGATCAACCAAAAAGAATGAGTTTATATCAATTAGAATGGGTTCAACCACAAGCATCTTAATACCTGTGTGATGTTTAAGGAAACAGATTAGCTCACATAAATGAAAGATCAAAGATAGGACAGACTTTGGAGTCGGGTCATCTAATGACTGAATGTTGTCATCAATGGTTCTGTTCATTCTCTTTTGCTGTGCTGCTAGCCATGTCAGTTTCATTTTAAGTCATGTTTCTCTCATGGCAATGGGATGGCTGCTGGTAGCAGTTGAGGCTACTTTCCTTTTTATATCTAGCTGCAGAGGGAGAAAGGCCTCCTTTGGCTTTTTTTTTTTTTTTTTTTTTTGATGGAGGCTCAATCTTGGCTCACTGCAACCTGCACCTCCCGGGTTCAAGCGATTCTCCTGCCTCAGCCTCCCAACTAGTTGAGATTACAGGCATACGTCACCACGGCTGGCTAATTTTTTGTATTTAGTAGAGATGGGGTTTCACCATGTTGGTTAGGATGGTCTCGAACTCCCGACCTCAGGTGATCCACCCACCTCGGCCTCCCAAAGTGCTGGGATTACAGGCATGCACCATTGTGCCTGGCCCTTGGCTTTCTTTTAGACAGAAGAAAAACATTTCCCCAAACCTCCAGCAAATCCCTTCTCACATCTCATTGGCTAGATTTAGGTAATTTGTTAATTTCTGAATCAATCACTGACAAGGGGAATCGGATTTTTCTAAGACCAATTAGGCCCGCCCTTGAAGCTGAGGGTGGAGACTGCCTCCCCTGGGTCTTATGAGCAGCATGAGAGAGGGGAAGACCTCAACTTAGTGATATTCTGTTTGAAATAAAAAAAAGAGTGTGGGAGAATGAAAGCTGAGATGGCAAAGAAGAGGGTTCATAAAAGGCAGAGTTGTACCAAATATACATTTTGACAGAATGCCAAATGGCTAGGAGTTAAAATTAATATCTGACTAAAATCAAGGCCTAAGTCAAATGTGACTTTGGAATAAGAATAAACTAGACATTTTCAAAAAGTGTAATTTATTATTTAAAATATCATTCGTGCATACCCACAAGATGAAAGGAGAGTGATATTTGTTGGAAAGGTATGTGCAAAAAGATTGCCTATTATTCTCCAAGCAATTGAACTGAAGCAGGGGAAGTCTCCAAATCCTTAGAAAAAATTATAGAAAATTCAAAGCAACAAGATAAGGATGAATGATGTAATCGTTTCATGGGTGGAGCAGGACTGTTCTTGAAGCATCAAACATCAATGTGTCAGAAACTCCCTGCTGACCAAATAGAAGGGCATCACGGAGCATTCTTTTAAGAAATACTGCGTTATATATATTCTCCATGGTACAGAAGGTGATATTGTCGGGCAAAATATGGACAAAAAGTGAGTTAGATGAGTTGGACTCAGAAAGTCATAGGTGACAATGTATTTTCTTTATATTTTCCTTTCATATATGCACAAGATGAATGTGATAACTATGTCTAACTTACTCTAAGATAGTTTTTTTTGAAGTATCAACATTCCAAATGATGAGAAAAAAAATGTTACTAGTTAAATTGAAAAGTTTGACATCATAATGTAGAAACCGTTTGTTTCTGGAGATGTTAGTTGTTAGATTACTCCCAAGGTAAATACCACTCATTTGTGACACCATAGAGATAACCACTATTAACTAAGATCAGTGGAGAAGCAAAATTTTTTTTGGCAGGGTCAAGTTACAAAGATTTTTTTATCTCTATAATAGTAACTAAAATAAAAATGTAACTTTTCTTTATCTTCTAAACTTGAAGATTTGGCCAATGATTATGACAGTCTTATTGAAGAAATCCCTCAATAAGAGGGAAAGCTTTGTGCACTACTTCAATAAAATGGAAGCTTTGTGTACTACTTAAAGATTCTTTCTGGACATTTTCAGAAGTAGACTTAAATGATTATTTTAGTTATAATTTATTTCTAACACTTTTGCAATCACTTTCTGCTTTTCTCAATTGCTTGAGATTTTTTTCTTTTGATCTAGAAATGTAGCAATGAAGCTATATCACTGGGTTTCAAGATAACTGAATTACCTCTGCCTTTTCCTCTCTACCTGTTTTCTTTGCAGGCAGGTAATGTTAAAATCATCAATGCAATTGAGCAATAGGACGTTCTTTACTGCAGCATTCATGAAAGAAACACTGAATGCTCAGGGCATTTTGATTGATTACTTTGCAGCAGGTTTCAGTAAACTACTTTCTTTTAGCAATTATTGTTTTTGCTAAGTTCTACTATCTACTCTTGCCACCTACAAATTATGAGGTTCAGGCTATTTGTTGTTGTCATTGTTGGAACCGTTTTTTAACTTGAACTAGCTATGATTTCATCTTCTCTAAACATTGTTTATATTACAAGATGCTTATAAACTCAATTGACTGATGATAGTGGCTGTTTTTCTGGGTCAGCCTGTGATTCTGCTATATTGTGCTATGCTGTAATTTCTTTTGAACCCTCTGTTGAAAGGTGTGAATAAATGTCTTATGCTTGTGATTCTTAATTTGCCTCATCTTGATAGTTCCATTGACAACAACAATTGTATGACATTTTTCCAATCTATCACTATTTCTTCAATTAGGTTTACTATGCTGTTAGCTGTGTGAGACCCAAAAATCTCCTGGCAGAAGAATAAAGCAATAACATAGCACAAACCATCTTTAATCTACCATTCTATCAGAAGTTAGAAAAGACTTGTGCTTCCTTTTGCAAACTGTCTAAAGCAGTGTGAACAGTTATTATGAAAGGCACTACTCCTTTACCATGTAACTGGATTTTTGTTTGGCTAATATGTCAGACTTTCTTGGACATTAAAGACATATTAAATACCAAACATATGTATTATTATTCCTAAAAACATTTAAAAATACTGTAGTATGTGTTGATTTACTTCATTATTATATTAAATTCTAATCTTTCTCAGGATTGAAAGGCACTTTCATTATGATGAGGAATGATTTTTCTATCTTAAGCAAGCAGAGGTCTCATTCAAGCAGAGGTTAAGAATCCAAGAGAAGAATATGAGATATGGGGTTTTAAATATCTAAGATAATTCTGTTGGTGCCACAGATGATCAATAACACACTTTCAGATGTTTTACCATCTTGGGAGATTTGCAATTACTGAATGGAAATATATGAGGCCAAGTTGCAGTTTATTTTTTAGGCAGACCAGTACATAGAACCTCTGTAGTACTACATCATGTAAGATGATGCTGCCAGAGGTGCTGATGGCCTGTTGAGCCTACTTTATGGTTCCTACGTCAACAAAGACTAAATGTGTATCCCTTGTTGGGATAGATGTCACATCTTTTATCCCTATGTTTAATGTACCCTTCTCTCTAGTTCTTCCGCAAACATATTCAAAGTTTTTCACCCAATTGAGGTGGATAGAATTATAAAAACCACCATTCAGACTGCTTTCAATGAATTTATTTCTTTAATGCATATTTGAATTTTCACTTCTCATCATCTCGATCAGCTCTAGTCACAATTCTAAATATGTGTTGGTGCCTTTACCAGTTAGCTCTGGTAATAACTCTAGTAGCATTCCATTGAATTATGAATTCTTCTAGTACTTTACCTGGCTCTCCAGCTACAACTTGAAAGATAAAAACCTTATAAATCAATAAAATATAAATTTCAGGCAAGAGAATCTTGCAAATAATAACATATTCGATTCTTTTGCAAATGCAAAATCTGTCTTCTAGGAGGGTCATACAGATTCTTATGGTAATTCATGTAAGATCAATACTCTTTTTAGTCCATCTATTTCCCTCAGTAAAAGAAGGATATTGATGCCGGGGAGCTCTAGTTAATTTAACAAAAGACGGTTCCCTGAAAACCAATTTTTTAAATGGCTAATTCACAGAAATGCTAATTCACCAGCCTGACTTGTCTTTTCGAAATGATTTATGATGCTTATAGTACTTTGTAACAACTTTTGAAACAACGTCATCTTTTGTGAAGATTTTACGATCGATTTTCATTTTGTATTCATAGCAGCATGCTGAAGAATGTTCAATTTGTCTCTGGCAAGGTCCCTGCTGCTGTAGCTGAAGGGAGACAGTTACTAAGACAGGGATCCCCTACGGGGAAAAGACTGGGAAGAGAGCCAGTACACAGCTCAGACTGGGCTGTCAATCCAGAGATGGGGTGGCTGAGGGAGAGACCATAGGGCAGGGAAAGGAGGAGACAGAAGGACTATTGTTGAACATATCTTTGAATATATCTTTTTCTCCTATTTCAGCTTTATTGAGGTATAATTGACATATAATAAGATGTACACATTTAAAATGTTCAATTTGAAATGTTTCAATCATGTATACAGCCAGCAACCCATCACTGCAATCAAGATCATGAGCATATCCAGCGTTCCCCAGAGTTTCCTTGTACCCACATTACATAAACAGACAGTGCTAGACTCGACAATGCTTTGACTATTTTTCAACTTTACAATGGTGCAGAAGCGTTACTCACAGAAACTATACTTGAGTACCCATATTACTATTCTGTTTTTCACTTTCAGTGTAGTATTCAATAAATTACATGCAATATTTAACATTTTATTATAAAATATGCTTTGTGTTATAAGGTTTTGCCCAACTGTAGGGTAATATAAATGTTTTGAGCACATTTAAGGTAGGCTAGGCTAAGATATGATGTTCAGAAGGTTAGGTATATTAAATGCAGTTTTGACTTACAATATTTTCAACTTAACAATGGGTTTACTGGGATATAACACCTAAAAGATGGCATAGTGCAATGACAAAGGGATGGGCTTTGGAGCCAGGTTGATGAGAGAGTGCTTGTACCAGCAGGGGCACCACCAGTAGTGCAGGTTCTTTCCCTATTTTGGTCTCACTTGCCGACTGTGTCACCTTAGGCAAGTTTCTTAACTTCTGATGTTCAGTTTCTCCATTTTAAAATGAGAACTGTAATAGCTAATCACAAAGTTATTGTGAATACTAATGGAGATGACAAAGTGCACCTATTACATTAAACAAACTTGCCTTGTGAGATACAAAATCACAAAATAGCCTTTTTCCCTTTGTTTCCTCCTGTTCATTTAATTTTAGTCAATAAGGCTTTTCCCTTGCATCTTCATGAAAACTTGAGCAAATCGCATGTATTAGTTTACTATTGCTGCTTTAAAAACTTACCAAACATATGGTGGCTTAAAACCACACATATATACTATCTTACAGTTCTGGAGGTCAGAAGTCCTAAAACAGGTCTGCAGGGGTGTGTTCCTTTTGGATGTTCTAGGAGAAAATCTGTTTTCTTGCCCTTTTCTAGAGTCTAGAGGCTGCATAAATTCCTTGGCTTGTGGTCCCATCCTCCATCTTCAAATCCAGCAGCATAGCATCTTTCCACCTCTTGCTGTCCCTCTTCTTCTGCAATCACATTGCCTTTTGTGTCTATGACCCTCCTACATAACTTTCATAAGGACCCCAGCAATTATATTGGGCCATGCTTGTTAATCCAGGATAATTTCTCCAAGTCAAAATTCTTGACTACATTGTATCTACAAAGTCTCTTTTGCCATTCAAGTAACATATTCACAGGTTCCAAGGATTAAGATGTGGACATCTTTAGGAGGCCATTATTCAGCCTTCCAGATCTCATTACTTCTCTCATCACTCGTAGGTAGTACATATGCTACATCCTTTAGAATCACAAATACAGTTTCAATTCAGGAATTAAAATTGTAGAAATTTATTTAAACTTGATGCTTCTACCCTCCTGCCTCTAGGTCCTCTTTGAGCAGGAAGTAAGCAGTCAGTTCCTGAAGGCAGGTACAATTGGCTGGTTTTCTTTCCTCATGTAGCTAGCCTTCTTCTCCAACTAGTGCTTCTGGTTTCCCCAGGGTTAGAGCAGAGGGAAGAAGGCAGAGGTGAGAGGATTAGGAATTATGATGTGGCCCCAAGTTGGTACTCTGGGGACCTGATTCTTCCTTACCTGGATGCTTTTGGAAATTCTTTGATGACCCCACCCTCGGCTATCACTAGGGTTCCCTCACCTAAAGTTTGTCTGGCATGTATTATTATTTGCCTTCTTGCATAATATCCAGGTATCCAGTAATCTACCTCCAGCTTCCCTCCTGCTGAGGTCTAATGTTCTCTCCAAGCAGTCCTCTCCAATCATCTGGTTCACAGAAAATGCACAATTCTTTCCTCTTGACTCTAGGAGTGTAGTCGATTCTCATGCTAGAGCCCTCTATTCAGTTTCAGCCAGCTTTTTTTTTATTTATACTCCTCAGATGTGGCTCAAACACCAAACCATTATATCTATCCCCCTAAGTTCCAAGGACTTCTGTTAAGATCTCACATTGGTCTCTTAAAAACCCCTCTCTTCAGATCTGGGCTTAGGAAGTGGTACCTTCACCTATCTCTCCTGTGGAGGAGTGGGATGGGAGACACATAGCACAGCTCTCTCCAAATAAATTTTCTTCAAATATATACCTCTTGACTTTTTATGTCCCTCATGCAAGTGCGTGAGTTCTGTATGAGATTTTGATCATTTCCTTTGAAAGTTGTGCAAATTTATGGAATCAGTTTTTTCTTGATGTTTCTGATGGTTAACTTTTTGTGTCAACTTGACAGGATGCCCAGATTCAACATTATTTCTGGGTGTGTTTATAAGGATGTTTCTGGATGAGATCAGCATTTCAATTGGTGGACTAAGCAAAGCAGATGGCCCTTCTTAATATGCTGGGCATCATTTAATTCTTTGAGGGCCCGAATAAAACAAAAAGTCAGAGGAAAGGAGAATTTGTTCTTTTTCCAACTGCTGAGCTAGGACATCAGTATTCTCCTGCCCTTGACTGAGACTTACACTATTGGGCCTCTGGTTCTCTGAGCTACACCACTGGCTTTTCTGGGTCTGTAGCTTGCAGACAGCACATTTTGGGATTTCTCAGCCTCCATAATTGCAAGAGTCAATAAATGTTCATTTTTTTTATGAAATCTGGTACAAAAACAGAATTAAAGATAAATAACTTAGTCAAATGTTTTGAGATTTTTCCTGATGGAAAGCCTGAAGAAGGTATAAAGCACTATTCTTAGAAAAATTTTTCATCTTATTTTTTAAACTTTGGGCAGCTGGCAGTCATCTTACATACAGTACTGACACATCCTGATGTGCTGTTCTCTGGGACCAATTTTGATGACAGGAAAACACAATATGACATTATCCATAGCTGTAAAATTCCACTTTTGTCCAGGCAATTTGCACACCAAACTGACCATCTTGGCTCCTCTGTGCCTTTTAATATTTTAGAAGGACAATAGGTAAACTGAATTTGGGAGTTGTATCATTGATGTCACTATCCTGGAAACTTAACCTGTCCGTGCAGTTATGGTATGCCTGATTTAATTGAACCCAGAAGTGTAAATTACATTACTTCACAGGCATTCTGTGATGAACAATCACAAAGCCATGGGTGCTTGAATGGTTGATCTAAGTTTACTGGTGAGATGGCTGACACATGGTTTAAGGTCTGGTTATTTCACTCGCCTGATGCCGGAATGAGATGGATTAACCAGGGCTCTGTTAGATCCTTCTGGAATGTTAACACCTTAGTTTTCTTGGCATCCAAGAATAATTGGACCCTATGGACCTCTGTTTCTATCAAAGCTGCCAACACTTACCTCCCAGCTATTCTTGCCTCCATACCAAATAGGAAAAATAAAAGATAAGACTGAATAATCAACCAACTAAGCTTCCCCTACATGGGGATTATTTCCCTACATGTGTTGATGAAATTTCTTCTACAGAAACCCAGTAGTTTTTTACCAAGATTTTAGCAAAACTTTAGCCTTGGAATCGTAATTTGCATGTGCATATGATTTGGGAAACTTACCAGTGGAGAGACTGCCTCTTGGTTCTGTGCAAAACCCGTGAGATAGAGGAATAAGCAGCAAAAGCTGAAAAGAGTTGGGAGAGGGACTTATAGGTGAAAAAGTTGGAGACTGAGGGGAGAAGTGTGACAGGAGACACTAGCAAAATCTTTGTATTTAGTAGAGATGGGGTTTCACCATGTTGGTTAGGATGGTCTCGAACTCCCAACCTCAGGTTACTCAGGTAACAGTCACTCATCTGCCAAACCCTTGCAAACATGGCTATTGTTTGTGTGTTTGGGTTGTTGAGGCAGAAACAAGGCCCAGTCCCTTTTACAGAGCCACTGGTGGGCAAACTTTTCTCACCCCATTCCCTCCCCGTCTTCCCCACCTCCAAAACTGTGAGACTGCCTGTACTCATAAATGCTGCCCAGGAGGCAGACTTTTCTTTTCCACATTTGCCCCCCAAAGAACCTTGGAAATGCCCTGCGTGCCCTTACTCTCACAGGCTTTGGGAATGCAGCAGTGAATAAAACAGACCAAGAGGCCTTTTTCTTGTAGAGATTACCATTCAGACAGAGAGACAAAATAGTTTCTATAGTGTGTTTGAAAGTGCTACAGAAAGTGTTCTATAAGTGCTATAGAGAAAAATGAAATAGAAAAGAGGAATAGGGTGGAGGGATGGGAGGTGAGAGTGTTTAGGGAAGGCCACATTGAAAGGGAGACATATTTCAGCAGACGTAAAGGAGGCAAGGAAAAAAGGCATGAGGATATGTTCAAGAGGAATGTTCCAAGCTCCTTAATATTATCTAGTGACCCAGCTATCTTCTTACATAATTTAGCAATTGACTTCATTTTCTTCTCCATTCTATCTTCTATGAACACTCCTATAAATTAACATCCATGCTAAAGATTATTTTCTTACATTAAGTGGTTAGATGTGGAATAACAAAATTAAGGAGGATATACATCTTCAGGTCTTTTGAAATATATTTCCTGGCTGGGCACAGAGGCTCATTCCTGTAATCCCAACACAACACCTTGGGAGGCCAAGGCAGGCAGATTACTTGAGGTCAGGAGTTTGAGACCAGCCTGGCCAACATGATGAAACCCCGTCTCTACTAAAAATACAAAAATCAGGACAGGAGCCAAGATGGCCGAATAGGAACAGCTCCGGTCTACAGCTCCCAGCGTGAGCGATGCAGAAGACGGTGATTTCTGCATTTCCATCTGAGGTACCAGGTTCATCTCACTAGGGAGTGCCAAACAGTGGGCGCAGGTCAGTGGGTGCGTGCACTGTGCGCGAGCTGAAGCAGGGCAAGGCATTGCCTCACTTGGGAAGTGCAAGGGGTCAGGGAGTTCCCTTTCTGAGTCAAAGAAAGGGGTGACGGACGCACCTGGAAAATCGGGTCACTCCCACCCGAATACTGCGCTTTTCCAACCGGCTTAAAAAACGGCGCACCACGAGATTATATCCTGCACCTGGCTCAGAGGGTCCTACGCCCACGGAGTCTCCCTGATTGCTAGCACAGCAGTCTGAGATCAAACTGCAAGGTGGCAGCGAGGCTGGGGGAGGGGCACCCGCCATTGCCCAGGCTTGCTTAGGTAAACAAAGCAGCCAGGAAGCTCGAACTGGGTGGAGCCCACCACAGCTCAAGGAGGCCTGCCTGCCTCTGTAGGCTCCACCTCTGGGGGCAGGGCACAGACAAACGAAAAGACAGCAGTAACCTCTGCAGACTTAAATGTCCCTGTCTGACAGCTTTGAAGAGAGCAGTGGTTCTCCCAGCATGCAGCTGGAGATCTGAGAACGGGCAGACTGCCTCCTCAAGTGGGTCCCTGACCCCTGACCCCCGAGCAGCCTAACTGGGAGGCACCCCCCAGCAGGGGCACACTGACACCTCACCCTGTTGGCAGGGTATTCCAACAGACCTGCAGCTGAGGGTCCTGTCTGTTAGAAGGAAAACTAACAAACAGAAAGGACATCCACACCAAAAACCCATCTGTACATCACCATCATCAAAGACCAAAAGTAGATAAAACCACAAAGATGGGGAAAAAACAGAACAGAAAAACTGGAAACTCTAAAAAGCAGAGCACCTCTCCTCCTCCAAAGGAACGCAGTTCCTCACCAGCAACAGAACAAAGCTGGATGGAAAATGACTTTGACGAGTTGAGAGAAGAAGGCTTCAGACGATCAAATTACTCTGAGCTACGGGAGGACATTCAAACCAAAGGCAAAGAAGTTGAAAACTTTGAAAAAAATTTAGAAGAATGTATAACTAGAATAACCAATACAGAGAAGTGCTTAAAGGAGCTGATAGAGCTGAAAACCAAGGCTTGAGAACTACATGAAGAATGCAGAAGCCTCAGGAGCCGATGCGATCAACTGGAAGAAAGGGTATCAGCGATGGAAGATGAAATGAATGAAATGAAGCGAGAAGGGAAGTTTAGAGAAAAAAGAATAAAAAAAAATGAGCAAAGCCTCCAAGAAATATGGGACTATGTGAAAAGACCAAATCTACGTCTGATTGGTGTACCTGAAAGTGATGGGGAGAATGGAACCAAGTTGGAAAACACTCTGCAGGATATTATCCAGGAGAACTTCCCCAATCTAGCAAGGCAGGCCAATGTTCAGATTCAGGAAATACAGAGAACGCAACAAAGATACTCCTTGAGAAGAGCAACTCCAAGACACATAATTGTCAGATTCACCAAAGTTGAAATGAAGGAAAAAATGTTAAGGGCAGCCAGAGAGAAAGGTCGGGTTACCCACAAAGGGAAGCCCATCAGACTAACAGCGGATCTCTGGGCAGAAACCCTACAAGCCAGAAGAGAGTGGGGGCCAATATTCAACATTCTTAAAGAAAAGAATTTTCAACCCAGAATTTCATATCCAGCCAAACTAAGCTTCATAAGTGAAGGAGAAATAAAATACTTTACAGTCAAGCAAATGCTGAGAGATTTTGTCACCACCAGGCCTGCCCTAAAAGAGCTCCTGAAGGAAGCGCTAAACATGGAAAGGAACAACCGGTACCAGCCACTGCAAAATCATGCCAAAATGTAAAGACCGTCAAGACTAGGAAGAAACTGCATCAACTAATGAGCAAAATAACCAGCTAACATCATAATGACAGGATCAAATTCACACATAACAATATTAACTTTAAATGTAAATGGACTAAATGCTCCAATTAAAAGACACAGACTGGCAAATTGGATAAAGGGTCAAGACCCATCAGTGTGCTGTATTCAGGAAACCCATCTCACATGCAGAGACACACATAGGCGCAAAATAAAAGGATGGAGGAAGACCTACCAAGCAAATGGAAAACAAAAAAAGACAGGGGTTGCAATCCTAGTCTCTGATAAAACAGACTTTAAACCAACAAAGATCAAAAGAGACAAAGAAGGCCATTACATAATGGTAAAGGGATCAATTCAACAAGAAGAGCTAACTATCCTAAATATATATGCACCCAATACAGGAGCACCCAGATTCATAAGGCAAGTCCTGAGTGACCTACAAAGAGACTTAGACTCCCACACATTAATAATGGGAGACTTTAACACCCCACTGTCCACATTAGACAGATCAACGAGACAGAAAGTCAACAAGGATACCCAGGAATTGAACTCAGCTCTGCACCAAGTGGACCTAATAGACATCTACAGAACTCTCCACCCCAAATCAACAGAATATACATTTTTTTCAGCACCACACCACACCTATTCCAAAATTGACCACATACTTGGAAGTAAAGCTCTCCTCAACAAATGTAAAAGAACAGAAATTATAACAAACTATCTCTCAGACCACAGTGCAATCAAACTAGAACTCAGGATTAAGAATCTCACTCAAAACCACTCAACTACATGGAAACTGAGCAACCTGCTCCTGAATGACTACTGGGTACATAATGAAATGAAGGCAGAAATAAAGATGTTCATTGAAACCAACGAGAACAAAGACACAACATACCAGAATCTCTGGGACGCATTCAAAGCAGTGTGTAGAGGGAAATTTATAGCACTAAATGCCCACAAGAGAAAGCAGGAAAGATCCAAAATTGACACCCTAACATCACAATTAAAAGAACTAGAAAAGCAAGAGCAAACACATTCAAAAGCTAGCAGAAGGCAAGAAATAACTAAAATCAGAGCAGAACTGAAGGAAATAGAGACACAAAAAACCCTTCAAAAAATTAATGAATCCAGGAGCTGGTTTTTTGAAAGGATCAACAAAATTGATAGACCGCTAGCAAGACTAATAAAGGAAAAAAAGAGAGAAGAATCAAACAGACACAATAAAAAATGATAAAGGGGATATCACCACCGATCCCACAGAAATACAAACTACCATCAGAGAATACTACAAACACCTCTACACAAATAAACTAGAAAATCTAGAAGAAATGGATAAATTCCTCGACACATACACTCTCCCAAGACTAAACCAGGAAGAAGTTGAATCTCTGAATAGACCAATAACAGGATCTGAAATTGTGGCAATAATCAATAGCTTACCAACCAAAAAGAGTCCAGGACCAGATGGATTCACAGCCGAATTCTACCAGAGCTACAAGGAGGAACTGGTACCATTCCTTGTGAAACTATTCCAATCAATAGAAAAAGAGGGAACCCTCCCTAACTCTTTTTATGAGGCCAGCATCATTCTGATACCAAAGCCACGCAGAGACACAACAAAAAAAAGAGAATTTTAGACCAATATCCTTGATGAACATTGATGAAAAAATCCTCAATAAAATACTGGCAAAACGAATCCAGCAGCACATCAAAAAGCTTATCCACCATGATCAAGTGGGCTTCATCCCTGGGATGCAAGGCTGGTTCAATATACGCAAATCAATAAATGTAATCCAGCATATAAACAGAGCCAAAGACAAAAACCACATTATTATCTCAATAGATGCAGAAAAAGCCTTTGACAAAATTCAACAACCCTTCATGCTAAAAACTCTCAATAAATCAGGTATTGATGGGACGTATTTCAAAATAATAAGAGCTATCTATGACAAACCCACAGCCAATATCATACTGAATGGGCAAAAACTGGAAGCATTCCCTTTGAAAACTGGCACAAGACAGGGATGCCCTCTCTCACCACTCCTATTCAACATAGTGTTGGAAGTTCTGGCCAGGGCAATTAGGCACGAGAAGCAAATAAAAGGTATTCAATTAGGAAAAGAGGAAGTCAAATTGTCCCTGTTTGCAGATGACATGATTGTATATCTAGAAAACCCCATCGTCTCAGCCCAAAATCTCCTTAAGCTGATAAACAACTTCAGCAAAGTCTCAGGATACAAAATCAATGTACAAAAATCACAAGCATTCTTATACACCAACAACAAACAGAGAGCCAAATCATGAGTGAACTCCCATTCACAATTGCTTCAAAGAGAATAAAATACCTAGGAATCCAACTTACAAGGGATGTGAAGGACCTCTTCAAGGAGAACTACAAACCACTGCTCAAGGAAATAAAAAAGAGGATACAAACAAATGGAAGAACATTCCATGCTCATGGGTAGGAAGAATCAATATCGTGAAAATGGCCATACTGCCCAAGGTAATTTACAGATTCAATGCCATCCCCAGCAAGCTACCAAGGCATTTCTTCACAGAATTGGAAAAAACTACTTTAAAGTTCATATGGAACCAAAAAAGAGCCCGCATCGCCAAGTCAATCCTAAGCCAAAAGAACAAAGCTGGAGGCATCACACTACTTGACTTCAAACTATACTACAAGGCTACAGTAACCAAAACAGCATGGTACTGGCACCAAAACAGAGATATAGATCAATGGAACAGAACAGAGCCCTCAGAAATAATGCCACATATCTACAACTATCTGATCTTTGACAAACCTGAGAAAAACAAGACATGGGGAAAGGATTCCCTATTTAATAAATGGTGCTGGGAAAACTGGCTAGCCACAAGTAGAAAGCTGAAACTGGATCCCTTCCTTACACCTTATACAAAAATCAATTCAAGATGGATTAAAGACTTAAACGTTAGACCTAAAACCATAAAAACCCTAGAAGAAAACCTAGGCATTACCATTCAGGACATAGGCATGGGCAAGGACTTCATGTCTAAAACACCAAAAGCAATGGCAACAAAAGGCAAAATTGACAAATGGGATCTAATTAAACTAAAGAGCTTCTGCACAGCAAAAGAAACTACCATCAGAATGAACAGGCAACCTACAAAATGGGAGAAAATTTTTGCAACCTACTCATCTGACAAAGGGCTAATATCCAGAATCTGCAATGAACTCAAACCAATTTACAAGAAAAAAACAACCCCATCAAAAAGTGGGTGAAGGACATGAACAGACACTTCTCAAAAGAAGACATTTATGCAGCCAAAAAAAACATGAAGAAATGCTCATCATCACTGGCCATCAGAGAAATGCAAATCAAAACCACAATGAGATATCATCTCACACCAGTTAGAATGGCAATCATTAAAAAGTCAGGAAACAACAGGTGCTGGAGAGGATGTGGAGAAATAGGAACACTTTTACACTGTTGATGGGACTGTAAGCTAGTTCAACCATTGTGGAAGTCAGTGTGGCGATTCCTCAGGGATCTAGAACTGGAAATACCATTTGACCCAGTCATCCCATTACTGGGTATATACCCAAAGGACTATAAATCATGCTGCTATAAAGACACATGCACACGTATGTTTATTGCGGCACTATTCACAATAGCAAAGACTTGGAACCAACCCAAATGTCCAACAATGATAGACTGGATTAAGAAAATGTGGCACATATACACCATGGAATACTATGCAGCCATAAAAAATGATGAGTTCATGTCCTTTGTGGGGACATGGATGAAATTGGAAATCATCATTCTCAGTAAACTATCGCAAGAACAAAAAACCAAACACCGCATATTCTCACTCATAGGTGGGAATTGAACAATGAGATCACATGGACACAAGAAGGGGAATATCACACTCTGGGGACTGTTTTGGGGTGGGGGGAGGGGGGAGGGATAGCATTGGGAGATATACCTAATGCTAGATGACAAGGTAGTGGGTGCAGCGCACCAGCATGGCACATGTATACATATGTAACTAACCTGCACAATGTGCACATGTACCCTAAAACTTAAAGTATAATTAAAAAAAAATACAAAAATCAGCCAGGTGTGGTGGTACCTGTAATCCCAGCTACTCAGGAGGCTGAGGCAGGAGAATGAGCCCGGGAGGTGAAGGCTGCAGTGAGCCGAGATTATGCCACTGCACTCCAGCCTGGGTGACAGAGCCAGAACCCATCTCTCTCTGATATATAATTAAAAATATATATATGTTTTAAAATATATATATATATATATTTAAAACATATATATATATATTTAAAAAAATATATAGAATATATCTCCCAATTTATTTCCTATTTCTATCCAAGATGGTTGATACCATTTCCTCTAGCAGGGTATATGAGTGCCTTGTTTCTCACGTTGTATTGATACTGGCAAATTCTTCTGGCTCTTGACTTTAGGAGCTCCCACACGTGCTATATATGTGCTCTGTTCCTTTTGTTGTGACAGCTCAGGAACTAATATTAGCCTTTGCTTTCCATACTCATTCCTTTGTTTTTGATTAATGTATGAAGCTTTGGCATCCTGTTCATATTTTATTTTTGTTTTGGATCACCAGTCCACCCCGGTCCCATTTAATCACTCTTATCTCAACCCTGCACACTTATCATGACTAGCTTGCACCTCATGGCCAAGACAAAGTCGAATTAAGATTCTAGAGAGATTATCATACATAATGAGACCCTGGAGAACAAGGCAAGAGAGACACACTTCCCAGGACTGGTTCATATCCGGGATTAGCTGCAGAGATGAATGAATGGTTAGAAAGGATTCAGAGTTTCTTAAATTTCCCTAAGGTCAAAATTGGCCCCAGAGCTTAGAGAGGGCTTGAATCTGTTAGAGATTCAAAGAAGGAGCAATTTTCTCTATCTGTAGAGATAAGGGGCAAACATTTGGAAACTCCAGATTCCTTAGGTTTCTTTTCTTACCCTCTCCTCCTCCTCTTCTCTCTCTAAAATCTCATCACCGGTGACGTTTTCTACTCCTAACATTTCTAAAAGCAATGTGTAAAAATGACCCTTAAATTGTTATCTCTAGCCCTGACCTGTTTCCAAACCCCAGCCTGATTTAATTGCTCGATGAATATTTTCATCAGGAAATACACACACACACACACACAGACACACACACACACACACACACACAGAGGAGAGTGAGAGATCTCAAAACTTTCAATTTCAGCATGCATAAAAGTGACATTTTTGCTTTGTTCCCTTTGCTTTTCTCCACAGTGAAAAAAATGGAAAAGCATTCAGAGATAAGCCAGCATAGTTCCTTCCCTAAGGAGCTCACAGGTTGGTGGGGACAAGAGACCAGTACATAAAGACTCCAGCACAGAGTGGCAAATGTTCTGATAGAGCAGGGTCATGGGACCATATTGAAGGAGGTGCTTGTGATGAACTCCACAAGGAAAAGTTAGGAAAAGCTTCACAGAGAGGCTGATGTGAAGTTAGGCCTTTTCCCCCAAGAGATTTAAGAATTTATTGTCCACTAGAAGATTGAATAACCAGCCATATCTAATATAAGGGATTAATCTTCAGGGAAAAGCAGAAGTTGGGAAAGTAAATCATGTTGTATGCTTTCCAGGAATGGCACAAAGTTGAAGTGAAAGCCACAAGTCAGGGGATAGCCAGTCCTTTTCTCTCACAATAAAACCATCAACAACGACAGCAATCACAATAATCACGGCGACTGACGCCTATATACCACTTACTGTACTGTGGGCTAGGAGCTGTGTTAAGTGCCTTTGTAGGTAAACTCTCATAGGTAAAACGGGTGGGTGATGGGGTGGGGCCCAGAGAAGGGTCCCTGCATTCAAGTAGGGGCTTGTCTAGTTTGAACCTCCCATGGGTGCTGAAAGGAGGAAGCACCCAAGCTTTTTTTTCTGCTTGCCCAGATAATAGACACCAGGGGTGATGCTTAAAAGCTTAAAAGCTGTCAATCGTCGAATAAAAAAATGGAGCTATACTCTTTGTTATAATTAATCACTAATGTTTGACTGATGATTGAAATATGACTTTTTTTATTTAATTGAATTTGAACTTGTTTAAGTAAGCTATTATGTAACTCTACGAGGCCTGCGGCCTGAGGCCATCAAGGAAGGTAAAAGCTCCATTGAATGCCTTGTTCAACAGCATTTAGGATTTTATATTCTGGGAAGTAAAATGAGTGTCTTTGTCACTATCAATTATGTCTGGAACTCTGAGGAGGATAAGGGATGTCTCGATGTGACTTTGTATTATTGCCACCAATTGCCATTCTGAGGGAATATGGCATGAGGCTCTTTCTTGAGAATACCTAGCAGTTTTCCTAAGAACTATTCTTTTATTAAATACAGTTTGGGTAAGATCACTGTAACAAGGGTTTAAGGCAATCTTAAAAATGTTCTTTGCACCATAACTGGCACATAGTAGGTGTGTGAGGATGTTCTTGCGTTACTATAAAGAAACACCTGAGACTTGGTAATTTATAAAGAAAAAAGGTTTAATTGGTTCATGGTTCTGCAGGCTTTATAGGAAGCATGGTGCTCGCACCTGCTCAGATTCTGAGGAGGCCTTGGAAGCTTAACAATCATGGTGGAAGGCAAAGAGGCAGCAGGCATCTCACACGGCAGAAGCAGGGACAATAGAGAGTGGGAGAGGAGGTACCACATACTTTTAAACAATTAGATCTCTCGAGAACTCACTCACTATCACAAGGGCAGCACCAAGGGGATGGCACTAAACCATTCATGAGGGATCCACACCATGATCCAAACACCTCCTATCAGGCCTTACCTCCAACACTGGGGATTATGTCTCATCTTGAGACTTGGAGGGACAACATCCAACCTATATCAATAGACATGTCATAATTATGTAGTGGAAAAACACTGAGATTCAATGATGCTATAATTATACAGAAAACATTGCCAGTAAATTTTGGCACTAAGTACGCGTAACTAATCTGAACAGATTGGCAAATGTGACCTTGAGGCTTCTTTCTGACCAAGGTCCCTCCCTCCCACCCAAAGAATTATACCAGGGCCAAGAATGGGCATGGACCTCTGCTCTTACAGTCTGGATTTCTTTCCCTGTTCACGTAGGTGGTGGAGACAAAGTTTCACACTGAAATCAGTGAAATGAAGCAGAATCATTTTTATTTTATTTTCTGTATCCTTCTTAAGTGTCACTCAGTTGTAGGATTTTTCCAGAGAACTATGTCTTACACCATGCCATGCCCAGTTCCTATCACTTTACCCTACACTCAGAGGTGCCCGGTAGTGTTAGAAGATCAGCCTGCCCTTGTAAGGTGAGCCTGTTAATCACGCTCTCCAGCAGATGAACCCGGACTCTTGCCCTTGAGCCTGTGGCCTGGGGCCAGGAAGATTCTACTGTGTTGCTGTCAAGTTTTCCACTGTGTCCTCAGTTCAGCCCCAAATGGTTGGTATTGCTGTCCTCACACTATTTTTAGTCATAGATCAGTTATCCCTGACACGCAGTGATGGGGATTAACAAAATGCACCCATATGCATCTCTGAAGGCTGAGCATGTGTGTCCCCAGCCCAAAGTAGTCTTGGGCAGTTCTAGGTAGGATTAGCAGACTTGATTTTTTTATTGTCTCCCTTTACTCCTGGCAGGAGAGTTCTGGGCTAGAATCACTCCAAATTTGTTTTAAGGAATTTGGCACAAGCCTCTTCTAAACCGTACACCAGACCTTGTGTTTTACCCCATCAAGTCCCTTGTGGCCCTTGGCAGGGGCACAGCGGGGAAAGGCTTTCCTTCTCTCGATGGAAAAGAGATCATTGAACTCCATGATGCTTTTAAGAGAACACAGTAACAGGTCAGGCCTTAGGGATGTCCCCACCAATCTCTCATGTGGTGAAGGTTCCACATGCCCGAGGAAGGGAATTTCGTAACACCCAATGCCAGCTGGGAAGGCTCTACATGACAGGGTGAACACCATCGTAATCACATCATGTTCTGAAACCTCAGCCCTGATTACTCTGATCTTTATCCTCTGTTGACCTGAGATGAATGCAAGGAATGGTCTTTAAATGACTCCGTTGTTTTTAAACTCTAGTACAGTGCTTGACTTGAACTTCCCTGGTGAGAGCAAATCACACCAACTGACTCACACTAACTTGACTTATTTAATTATTTTAATTACTTGAGTCCTTTTACTTCATGAAATGACCCCCAGTTCTTATAACAGGGCGGTGAAATCAGGGCACTCAATACTTTCCATTATCTTCCTTAAAGAAATCCTCTCCCGTTCGGTGCTTACACATCTGCATGTATTTCATGACCCTGCAGAAACTTTGTTAAATATATTAGCGAGAAAAGGAGGAGGAGTGGCAACCTAGATATTCAATAGGAGAGAAACGTTGAGTAGATTTTGATCCTTCGTGTGATGAGATATTATGCTGTCCTAAAAATAACACGTACCAAAAGTTTTAAAAGATGCAAGATGGTCACTAACATGTTAAATGAAAAAAGCAGGATGGAAATTTGTACATATACTCTGATTTCAATTCTGTCAATATTTATATAGGTAAAATATGCAGTAGGATAGAGGAAAATTAGCTGGGCCTGAGTTACTCCTGGAGGTCACAAGAAACTGAGAGAGAAGATCTCAGACATAGAATGATCCTATCTGAGGACTCTAGGGATCTCAGCTGAGGGGAGGAAAAGGGCAGAGACTGTCTGTCTTTGTGGGTTAGGACTTCTGCAGGCCAACAACTTACAGGGTTGATGGTTTGAAGGAGAAAGTGTTGCTACATCCTCAGCTAGGAAGCCACCAGTTTTATAAACACAAATGGACAAAATGGAGTATACTAAAGTATTTGGTTGGAGCTGCGAACCCCTTGGGAATGTCTGAATTACTACTTACAAAGAAGTAGCCAGGGCCAGTTTGCCTTCTGAAGTGTCACTGTGCAGAGGCTTCCGCCAACACTCGCAGCCAGCTATGACCAGGACTAGAGAAGGCCCCCGAGTTCTGGACAGTCTGCAAGTCCCACAAATCAGTGCTAAGTCATGTAATCAGATGTCTCCATGGTGTTTGCACGTTACCGTCTCAGGAATCCAGAGCTTTCACTTACCTCATGTCCCAGCCTGGGATTTCCCTGTAGGCTGTAATGGGTTTGTTTTGCCAGGTTACTCAGTGTTCCTTCTGCTTCTTCCCTGTGAGTGTCAGACATCCTCCTCATCATCATTGCCTTTTATTGAGTGCCTACTGTGTGTGAGGTGCTTTACAGATATTATTTTTAATCTTCTTAACGATCCTATCAGATAGGCATGATTATCCTAATTTTATAGGTGATGGGATTGAGAAACAGCATGATCAAATCACTTGCTTAGGGGCATAAAATTAGTAAGTTTGGATCTAGATGTCTGTCTACTTTTTCTGTGATGTCTTTCAGCTTCTAATTTGCCACTCTGTGTGTGTGTGTTGTTTTTGTGCATATGAGAGAGACACACAGAGAGAGAGACAGATCTGTTACTAAAAGATCTTTTTTGAACAGCGATTTACTTTTGAATTTGGGTGTTGCTTATTTCTCAAATGCTTTTTTCCATCAACATCCAGAAAATCATATATCTCACCTCTTAATTGTCTTTGTCAAAAGTGAGTCCTAGCCATGAGCGGAAAGTGGACTGAAAAATAATTATACTTTTCAAAATTTCAACTAGAAATCAGAATGAGACTTCTCAGGATGACAGAAAAACTCGCATACAAGTTAGCAGCAACCTGAGATTAGTGCTAAAGGTACAATATGCAGACAAACAAACTGCAATAGTTCCTCACTTCAATCATGTCCAGGGAAGTCCATGCTCAGACCCTTTGATTCTGGTGCTTTTCTGACATGTAGGGACCATCCTCTGGTGTCAGCATCACAGGCCCAGAATTGAAGAAGTTGATGCTTTGCTCTCATTGAGGCCTGATCACTATGTATCCAATAATGCTGCCTCCTTTCCCCACCTTCTTCCTTTCTTCAATATATATACATCTAATGCCAGGCTCCACACTAAGGAGCAGCAGCAAATAATGCCTATGAATGACAAGCAGGGTCCTGGCTATCACTGAGTTTACAGCATGGCGGGGAAAACAAACAAGGAATTCAGATGTAGTGCGATAAATGCACTGATGTGGGGGAAAGTGGAGTGCACTCAGGTGGGCAGGTATGAAGGGTCAGCAAAGGCTTCCTCAACCAAAATACTTCTGTGCTGTGACCTGAAGGATGAGTTAGCATCAGCCAGGTCGGGGTGGAACATGTGAAAAGCAAGAGGGATATTCTGTGAAAGGCCAGAGAGATAGGCAAGCTTTGCATAGCTTAGCCGTCTGTCTCATTCCCTCTGTCCTCCTCGTACATGAGTGTGTCAGAGTGAGTTTCGGGATTGCTTTTAAATTTTAAATTAAAGACTATCAGAATCCAGAGACTATCCAAATTCCTATGGTCTCTCAGAATTTCACAAAAACATTCAGACAAAGGGTGATTCCACAGAGAAATCATACACCTCAGTTTGAAATTGCCACTTGGGAGGAATGGGACACCAGGTCTTTGGAAACGGGCTTAGGGCCCATCAAGGGAGATATTGTGTGCCGAAGCTTTCTTCTGGAACTCACTGGGGTCCCCTTTTTCTGCAATCCAAGCTAAGTCCTCACAGCATGTTGGGCTAGTCTAATTCAGGGCTGTATTAGTCAGAGTTCCCTAGAGGAGCAGAACTGAAAGGATATATATATATATATTCTTTATACATATATACACATATTCTTTATATATATATATATATATGAGTTTAATAAGTATGAACTTACATGATCACAGGGTCCCACAATAGGCTGTCTGCAAGCTTGAGGAGCAAGGAGAGCCAGTCTGAGTCTCAAAACTGAGGAACTTGGAGTCTGCTGTTTGAGGGCAGGAAGCATCCAGCATGGGAGCAAGATGTAGGCTGGAAGGCTAGGTCAGTCTGGCCTTTTCACGGTTTTCTGCATACTTTATATTCGCTGGCAGCTGATTAGATTGTGCCCACCATATTAAGGGTGGGTCTGTCTTCCCCAGTCCACTGACTCAAATGTTAATCTCCTTTGGCAACACCCTCACAGACACACCCAGGATCGATACTTTGTATCCTTCAATCCAATCAAGTTGGCACTCAGTATTAACTGTCACAGTGACTATGACCTTTGTCACAGAAGATGACTAGAAAAATAGCCACGAGTTGACCTTGATACTAAGAGCAGCACTGATTTGGACATGGAATCTGACTTAGCTCATGAGGACTCATTTTAGCCACGAGTCATAAAGAAGTCCCAGTTCAAGATACATAGTCCTTGAAGACAGCACTCAAGGATTTAGGCACACTAAATGTCTGAGCCCCAGTCTAATTCCAGGGGCAGTGACAGGATGACGCTGCCCAACTTGAGATTTTGTCAAGATTTCAAACACACAGTTTGTTGTTAAGGTTCTAATTATATAAAAAACTCCATATTAACATAAGGCTCACGGTTAATTGGCAGGGCTTCAAAAACATTAACTATTTCCTAATTATAGCAGTAATTCTTTCCCTTTCTCTTTTTTTCTCATTCTTCTTTTTAAATAATAATTATCACATATATTGGGTGCTTAGTATTTGCAACACGTTAAAACAAGAGCTAAGACTACATTCTGTCATGTAATTCTCATAACTGCTCTATGGCATCGATATTATTTCATGGATTTTGGAGATGGGGAAACTGAGGTTTAAAGAAGGATAATTAACACGTTTATCACAAATGGACACAAAAATAGTCACACACATGGAAAGTGTTAGAACTGGAACTTAGACCCATTTTGTTGAAACAACTCAAGTCTGTGGTGTTAATGTCTGTGGTTCTGCAATTAAAATACACATTCTGATTGTGTTGTTTGTGTTGTTCCAGATGCCTTCTCCACTAGAAGATGGGGCCAGATTTCCTAGTTCTTTATTTGCTGATAGCACTAAACAAAGTGTGTAGCATGTTATGGGACATCAATAAATACTTGGCTCAGTGGCACACAATCAACTAGAGAAGGCCTGGTCTAAATTCAGCCCAGCAACACAAATTGCAGGATTTTGCATCACTCTGCCTCTCATCTTATTAGGACAGGTCTTGTGGCTGTCCTAGGCCTGAGCACCCGTAACAGAGCTCTCCTTGTCATTGTGACAATAGAAAGTAAGGGAAGGGAAAGTCATAAATTAGGCCAATGGAGGGAGGCAGAGGAAAATAGATACAGACTGATGACAAGATTAATATGCAGTTGACGGGGAGTGCTTTCACACCAGAGCGCCAGCAAATAAACACAATTCAGAAAGCTCATCCCTGCCTTACCAGAGAAGGCAGATTCCTGAGCCAAAAAAAAAGTGAATGAGCAAGAGAAAGAAAAATAGAGGCCTGTGTGTGCATGGGGCCTTGTTTGCCAGGAATTCCTCCAGCAGGATCAGATAGCTGGGGGATGACACAAGCAGCAGGCTCTGCAGAGTTATACATTTTCTGACCCAAAACAGGGACAGGAGAAGCAGGCACAGGCACTGCAGGGAAGGTGGGCTCCGAGGATACTGAGTGAAGGCTGAGATCAGTGCCTTCCCCGGGCATAAGCATAGCCTCCCTGTGCCACCAGCAAAGGCGGGTGTCATTTTCTGAGAGGAGTCAGCAGACCTGCCTGGCCCTTTTGGCTGGACTTCTGATGGGCTCTCCCACTCCTTGCTGTAATGAATGAGACCTCAGCAGGCTTCAGTTGAATACTTCATAGATGGGAATTGATTCTTCTTCTTTTTTTTTTTATTTGTTTGAACTATAATATTGCCATTTTTGTAAGTAAGAAGTGGCCAAATATTATCAATTTCATATGGTTTAAGATGATAGTAAGGGCAGAGATTGTTTTCAAACTCAGGAATTGATTCCAAAATTGTGACTCTCACTATGCTACACTGTTTCACCAGTGACTTCCCATTAACCTGAGCATAAATTTAGACTTTGACCTGGGCCTACAAGAATATTCATGGTCTGATCTTTGCTTACCTGGTACCTTCTCTCTCCACAGCAACACCAAATTTCTTCTGGCTATTCAATGATTACTTTGGTTTACTGATCTTTGATGATACGTTTTCCTCTTCCTGAAATACTACACTTGCTTCTCTTTTCCTGGATGTTATCATTCCATCCTTCAGGGATTAGCCATCATAGCACTTATATTAGATTGGAAACTGCCCAAAGTGAGAAAATGTTGGTCACCTGCCTTATTTCTTAGTGACTAGATGAATGCCTGGCACATAAAAAGATGGATGAATGAATGGATGAATGAATGAATTACATGAGCCAATGCCACCTTCCCTCCCACAACACACAGTCATTCTATGCCTACCTTGCCACTCCAAATTAAACAATTCTCTGTTATGACATAGATGTCCAGTTTCAGAACAATCTGTTGAACTTTGGCTACAGCTGTGCTGCAGAGCTTGGTGATATACATTGAATATAAAGCAAGAACACAAATTTAAAAATTCAAGAACATTCTCACATACCCTGAAGAACTAGTTCAGCTCTTGGTTTTCAATAATGCAAGCTTCTTATTTTTGCCCTTTTTTTCTCTTGTTGGGGCCTGGTTTTTATTGGAAGAATTTTCCAGAAGTATCACTAATGTAAACAAATAAAGACTTTTGGAGGCAGTTATCAGAACAGTTACAGATTCAAACGTGGTTATAAATGTTGGAACTGTTATTGCTGGTGACTGAAGAAGCTCAAATTGTTTTATTAGCTTTACTTAGTTGGATTTATACCACATTTTTTCTGTGAAGAGAAAGTTATGGAAGAAAATGGCTTTTTAGCAGCTAATCATTTCTAAGGATCACATTTGCCACCTCCTTTTTCTACTGAAGCATGTTGACGTAGGTCTGTTCTGCACAGACAGATTTTGTAAACCACATGTGCTGTATAATCATTCATTGGAACTGGGCAAAGGAGGTGTTAATAAGTTCTGTGACAGTAGAAGCCCTTGGTCAGATGCTGGGTATTATCTGTCACGGATGCTGGGATGGGCACTCCTGGACTAAAACACGTCTAAGAGATCTTCCAAAACTGGGATTTTCTGATTCTATAATAATAAACTCTGGACCCACCCATATTTGTTGTTGGCTTAGTGTATAATGTAGCATATACATTCTAAACAGTATATAAGTATGATTCTATTTAAAGGTAGAATTATACTTATGCTGTTTAGAATATGCATATATATATTCTTCATTATATATACACATACACATTTAAATAGAATCATACTTATATGCTGTTTATAAATTATTTTAATCACCACAATCTATTATAAATGTATTTCCATGCCAATCTATTTTTTTCCAGAACTTTTTTTTTAAATGAGTTTACAGTATTGTATTTCAATGTATTCTTTAACTAGTACCCTAATTTTTTTCTTTTTTTTTTCAGACAGGGTCTCACTCTGTCACCCAGGCTGGAGTGCATTAGTGCGATCAAAGCTCACTGCAGCCTTAAACTCCTGGGCTCCAGCGATCCTCCTACCTCAGCCTCCCAAGTAGCTGGGACCACAGTCACATGCCACAACACCGGGCTAATTTTTGAATGTTTTGTAGAGATGGGGTTTCACTATGTTGCCCAGGCTGGTCTCAAACTCCTGAGCTCAAACAATCTGACTGCCTTGGCTTCCCAAAGTACTGGGATTACAGATGTGATACACCATGCCTTGCCAGTACCTTGATTTTTAACAGTGGGATTTTCCCCCTTGATTTTTAATATAAACAGCATCAATGGATGACTCTACCTAAACTTTTGTGAATATTCTCACTTTATTTAGATAAATTGCTGAGTCAAGGGGTATCACATTATTCAGGATTTTTGATGACTATTGGGACATTGCCTTTTAGAAAGATTGTATGATTTATATCTTACCAGTAGTTATGTTATGACTTTGAGAGTCCTCTCTGGATCACAGCTTTCTGGTGGCATAAATTGCTACCCAAGAAATTCTGGGAGGTTGGGGTTTCCTATGTTAAACCCTCTCTGGGACATCTCCTGCTCCCACAGTGGAAGAGAATTAAGGAAAGGCAGAAATATACTTATTAAATGCATGGACTTTGGATCAATTCTTTGTGCGAACTGAACCAAATTCTAACTCCACAATCTATTAATTCAGAAACCCCAGGCAAGTTACTTAAACTCTTCAAACTGGTTTTCTCATCTGTAAAAATACCGAATCTACCTCAATGGGTTTATTTTTTGCTGTTGTCATTTGTCTGTGTGCGTGGTTTTGTGTGTGCGTGAAGATGATTTATAGGAAGGGCTTAACATGGCACAGAACACAGAGTAACTGCCTTTTAACCACTAGCCAATATTTTTACTGTACTATTCTAGTTATTTATTTCTAGCAACAACTCTTTTTCTTAACTGTAAATGGAAGCAATAGCTGGAGCAAGAAGGGAGAAGGGAAAAAAGGTAACCAAGAACTTGGGCTGTTCCCGAAAAGAGTTTTTAGGGTGGGGAAATATGTCTTTCTTTTATTGGGTAGCCTCTGCCCTTTGAGCCCTACCTTTTCCTTTAGAATTTGCAGCATTTGGGGAAGGCCCTCCACCTGCCAGCATTGCTTGGGTTTCACTGGTCTTGTGAGCGTTCTGCTTTTCGCCCGCCCTTGTTCGTAAGGCGGCTCTGCTGACCTTGAGGGTCCAGGACATAGTGTTGATCCCAGGAAAGACAGTAATAGTTTTGTTGACAGATACTTTTCAACAGCTGTATGGTATCTGCCAGGCTGAAAGAAGAAGAGGTGGGAGGAGAGTGACTCAGGGTTAACCCATTCTTGGCCTCAACACTATTCCCTTTGTAAGAAACCCTTGTCTTGATGGCATTCTCTTGGCCTTTGAGAGTTGGCTCTCTCTCTCATTCTCTCTCTCTCTTTCTCTTTTTTATAAGCAGACCCTTTTGTACATTTTCTTATAATGGCAAAGAAACATTTAAGGTTCAGAAACACAGTTTACACAATTTGAAAGCATTTCAAACCATTGTGTTTGGGAAAACATAGAGTAAGTGGTCACTTTGACAGTGAGATGACTGTAATGCCCTGGGATTCTATAATCTTGCACCTTCATCGGCACATTAGACCCATGGAAGATGCGATATGGGCCCTCAATTGTGGAAGAGAGAACAGAATTTATTTTGTTAAATTTCATTTCAGATTTCATAGTAGATACTATTCACATAAGCGTTTTATTTTTTTTCTATTTATTAATCAGAATATATGTGGTATCATAGCCAAGGCCTCTTTGAAAAAATATTACAGTGATTTAAATGCATGACATTTTAGGTGCTAATCCAGTGGGACCTTTTATAATGCTGGTGTTGAAGGATAAGAGTAATAACTGCTTATAAACTGACTCTGGTCTCAGACTGTGCCTTTTGGCTTTGTTGTATTTTAAGGACAAATATATTAAGAATCCCTGAGTCAGTGTAATAAACAAGACAAATAATAATGGATTTGAGAGAAAAGTAGTTAATTTGTGTATTTCACAGCAAAATTTTATTGGTGGAAGTATGACTATATTCATTTTGCATATATTCACCAAGAACTTCTTGAAATGCAAAACATAAGCATTCTAGAAAATATTAAGCATTAACCACCTGTTCAGTTCCCTGCCCTTGAGAGACTGCTATGCATAAATGGAGCCCAATTCATTTAAACTTAACTCTAACATAAGGTGGATGTGATGCTTCTCAAATAAATAAAGAGCAATGGGAGGTCCTAGGAGATTGGGATGGCAGAGAGGGAATATTATTATAGTGTAGGCTTTGTTGTTAGATTTGGGTTTGAGTCTATGCTGTCATTTAGTAGCAGGTTAAACTTATATACTGCATTTAATGTCTCTGGATTTTATTTTCCCTTATCTGAAAAATGGGCATACCTAACTCATGGTAAGTTTGTGAACTAGTATGTGTAAAACTTTTAGTAGAGTGCATAACAGAATAAATACTCAACAAATGGTAGCTAACAATGGTGGATAAAATAAAAGGAGGGACTTGTATAGAGGTACTTGGTGGGATGATGTAGAGCTTTGGAAGGAGGTGAGATATGAGCTGGACTAGATATGGGAAGAGGGCGTTCAAGGTGACAAGGATGGCCTTATCAATGGTGTGCAGAGGGATGAGAGGGTGCTGAGCATCTTCAGAAATTGAGACTTAGACTGAGGGGCTGAAATGGAGGGCTCACAGGTTGCCCTCTAAGCAAAACTTATCCAATAATAGTACAACTGAGTTTATCCTTGTAAGAAAGACAGGTAGTTTGGGAAGAGCTAATGAAGAACCTAGATTGTCAGGTTAAGAAGGTGAAGGTTTATTGGGTTAGCAATGGGGATCCCATCTGTGCTTTGGAGGATTACTCTAGTGGCAAGGAGGCTGGATTATCAATGGAGGAAAGAAAATAAAGACATAATTTCAACTGCCCAGGCAAAAGGTAGGTCTAGGACTCTTTCTATTACAACAGAATAATAATTATTACCTTTGGTTTGAAAGGGTCTTTTCCAAAGGAAACAGTTAATAGGCATTGTGCAATTGCTCTTTATTCTGTTAGGATCAATCATTCCTCCAGGATTAAGCTGATTTTTCCCTTCTTCCCTTCACACATCCTCCCACAGATAGTTGCCTGCTTATATTTTTGCTTTAGAATTGCTATCTGGAAAACAATACCAAGAAGCAGACTCTAGGTCATTGGATCCTGAGCCTCTCTGTACCTCAGTGTGGCTTGTTAGAAATACAGAAGACTGAAGCTTCTGATTTGGCAGGTCTGAAATGAATGCAGGAAACTGTACTTTTTTGAACGTTCCCCCAGATGATTCTGTTTTTAGCCACATTTGAGAACCACTGTACTAGATTTTAATCTTGTTGAGGAAGACTAGGTCTTATTCATTTTTTACTCTACAGGGCCTATCACACTATTTGGCCCAAAATAGATTTTCATGAGTATTTAGTACATAGAACTAAAATGTCATAATAAGAGCAGAGAAAAACATCAAACTTTAGGAAAATATTAGCTGCATAGTGCCTTGCTGCAAACCCAGGGCAATCTTTGAAAAGAACAATTTCTTAGTCTGTTCTGGCAGGGGGCAGGGCTGGAAGCCTAGCTTAGAGCTTCTCTTGATTGATTGCCCTGTAACTTGAGGCCTGACTTTGGCCTGAGGGTCAGAGCACTGGGTTTACTGACTTGCAAATTATTAAAATACTGTTAAGGAGAAGGCAAGCATTACCAGGGAACTCCATTTTTACAGTGATAGGGTGAGGACCTGCTTTTCAATGTTAATATACCCATGTTAATAATCAAAGAAATGCAAGTAAAAACAAAGATGCTTTCAAGTTAGTAAAAAAAAAATTAAACATTAACAACTAAGGCTATTAACACTGTGGCAAAATTAAAATAACCCAACTAATTTGGAAGGCAATTTGGTATTTTATACCAAGACCCCTAAATAGTTCATTTCATTTGACCCAGTGATTTCATGCCCATAAATATATCCTAAAAATTACCCAAAAATATACAAAAGGCAACCGCACAAATATGTTAATTGCATAGTAATTTATAACCTTGATGCAGATGAAAAGTCCCACAATAAAGGAATAGCCAAGAATGTAAATTGATGCCATTTTAGATAGCCCTTATAAAATGATAGCTGTGAGGTTTGGGTGCCATCTTAGGAAAAAGCGTATGACATAACGTAAATGAAATAAGATATAATGTAAGTGGAATGTTAAATGGAAAATTTCACATGCATTAGAATTACAACCATGTAAATAATAAGCATATTTTAAAAGACTTGAGGGACATGCACAAACATAATTCCTGTGTTTAGATAGTGGTATTAAGAGTGAGTCTTTCCTCTTTTTCCTGAAGTTTGTGAGTTGAGTTTGTAGTACTTTAATACTTTAAAATTTAAAAATCATTAAAATACACTCACACTCACACATACACACTAAGGCAGGTGATTGGGTCATAGCCACAATGAGCAAGTGGTAAAATTTCGGCAAGAATCTAGAGATGCATGCCAGCAGAGTACACTCCCCCTTCCTTCATCCCTCAGAAACCACCACCATACCATTCTATCAAAGAACGGCATTTGCTTTTTGTTACACAAATTATTTCAGTGTTTAAGGACAAAATGAAACAAAACAGGAAAACCAAATTAACAAGAAAAAATTCCCTCTACAACCTTACCCCTGCCCCGCCCCCCACCATTTTCAAGGGTCTTATGTCAGGAGTGTTTTTTGTTTTTGAAAAGTCTTTTCCTGCCTTACTTGAAAATGGCTTATATCTGCACTACCCAGGTTAATTTTTAGATTTTGCTGGTCTTTTCAAAGACATCTAAGAGAAAGAAGCTCATGGGCTGCGTGTGTAATGTTAAATAAGGTCATGCTTGCTGTTGGTCATGATGGCTCCCACATGACAGGGGACTATTTTTAACTGAGACAATTGGTGAATGACTCAGGAAGACCTTCCAAAGCCAAGTGGCAGCTTGGAGGAATCAAAATTGCTATTAACTGAGGAGAAAATAACTAATGCAGTAGGCTGAAACTGCCCATTTTCTGTTTTCAGTATATCTGGCAACCAAATAATACTATAATAAAACAAATTTTAAAAGCCTCACTAGTACAGATATAGGTATGCTGCCAGCTAAATACTTTGTTGCCTTCCTGGTTCAAAAAATGATTTTGTAGGAAAATAATTTTAGAAAATGTTGAACATAAATACCTCTTTTGGATGTTTACAACATAAGTTTGTATAACAAATGGATGTCACAAAAGATTGTTTATGTTTATGGGGGTGGAAGTAAGGGTAGGGAGGCAAAATTTGTAGAATGCATGCTCCCGGGAACACACTTTAGTATATGCTGATCCAAGCTGATACCCTCCTTTTACAGATGAGAAAAATGGAGACCTTGGGAGGTTGAATAAGTTTCTCAAGAGCACCTAGTTTGTGAATGCAAGAACTAGAACTAAAACCTGATCTATTAGACTTTCCACAGCTCTTGATCATATCTAACCCTCACAGTTACTCAGAGTCTACAACTGATGTGTCAATTAACACTGTAACCATTAGTCTTGTATTTAATTTTCTATTTAAAAATCATTACTCTTCTTGCATTCTCAAATGACCCACACAGCACAAATGTATTTGTTGTTCTTTGAATGGGAGGCACTTTATACAGACAGGTCATTTTATTATTATTAAGGTCCTATTCCTGGTAAATCACAGAACTGGACTTTTACTGCCATGTGAAGCTGTCTTTCTTGACTGATTTTAAAAGGAGTGAACTCTTTAGTGATGATTAAGGGAATTTCAGGCTGGGGGCTGGCCAGTGGAGGAGGCCTGTCTCTCCTGAGACTAGGTGAAGTGATCTAAGGAGCAGGAAGGGAAAAGCCCTTGCCTCCTGCTGCAGTAATAGTAAACACAAGACCTTTAACTTTGAAAAGCACTTTACCTTGTGTATCTGAAATGACTGCTTTAAATATCTAAGGCACATCCAGTGAGCTAAGTGCAAGAACCCTTATCCAGAAAACTATGTTTGTTTGTTTTTTTTTCCAGGATAACTATCTTTTTCCATTAAATCTATACTGTGCCTCTTTTTCTTCAAAATTCTCATCCACATCGAGGAGAGCACAGGTCTGAAGGTGTAGTTGAAAATAAGCAGCACATCAATTTCATGTTGCCTTTGCTATGGTAAGAGACAGCCTCAAGGGCCAGCTCAATGGCACAGTGTTTCAGCAGCGGGTTTGGGTTAGGGTTTAGGAAAGGTCACGTGTCTTTCTTTCAGAGAGGGAAAAAAAAGTTGAAAAGCAGGTCAATAACTCTAGTTATAAGAAGAGTGGCTGCTTCCAGGAAGTGAGTTGCAAGGGCTGGGGTGTATGGGGGTGGGGAGCGCTCTTAATTTAGATCTAGAGTCATCGTTATGTATTAAGTGCCTGTAGACTTTTGTCTAAATTTTAATAAGCTACCTATATGTTTGGCTGGGTTGATTGAATCCACCTGAATAATTTCCTGCCCATTTCAGCAGCATTAATCATATGTACTGTTTCCTGACACTTTTACTAATGTGGTATAGGACATGAACAAAAGCTGTAGTTTCATTCTTTTTGCTGTGCCTAAAATACCCATATGTACTCATATGGATGATTGGCACTTGAAATAGAAAAGAGAGTATGTATTTTTATTTTAAATGGCCGGGATATGCAGGTGAACTCTGCTATGAAGGATGTTGGGAAAAGAATTAATTGAGTAATCTAATTAAATGACAGTAATCAAAAGATGTCTCACTCAGTTCTCATAAAAATACAATGAGGTCACAGTGTTTGGCATTTTACTGATGAGGAAACAGAAAAAGCTCAAAGAGACTGAATAACTTTTCTCAAGGTCACATAATAATAATGACGGCTTCAAAATTAAAATCTAGGTCTGAATCACTTTCACTCTACTCAGCATGTAAAAGTAAATCCCTCCTGACTATTCTTTTATCTTTCAGTGAAGATTCTATAAACACTCCAGAAATGCTCAGGACCTCAGATGATTGACCCAAATATCAAATATTGTATCATAGATATGTTCACATATATACCTATATGAACAATACATATTGTATTATTTTATATTTGTAGAACAAAACTGTTCATTACTGGTTTCATTAGAAGAAATTTATGCTACAAAAATGTTCAGCATGGGCAAATTCTAGACTGCTCTCTTCGGTATGAAGGTGCAATACTAACTCAGAATTTGATAGCCTTTATGAGTCACTGTGAGACCCTTGCCTTCAGTAGTAAGGTTAGGATAATAATATTTGATCCTATTTGTGACATCCATAGTCAAAGATGTTATGAAAGTACGTTGGACTCACATGAAAACAAAACAAACCTGTTGTGGTAAAAAGCATCCATGACTTTGTCAAGGGACCAGTTTTTGCAGATTTCCCAACCTGGTAAATGTCTTAGGAGTCATGAAAAATGCATATAAAAAAGGGGATTAACATTTTGAATGTGCCTGTAGAAATACTTCATATGGGAAAACGTCTTAGTGGTTTTATTGTACTGAATAAAGCCAAAGAAGGATTATTTTTACATTAAACCCCTCACCTAACTAGGACCACCTGGTGTACATTGTGTCACATAAACCAGTGATGTCCCAAATCCCCTTCCAAAAGAAAAGTCACATTGCAAAGGTTCGCCGTGTTCTAATTAGAAGGCACAGTCAGTTCTCCTTTCATACTCTGGGGGGCTGCATGCTGCAATCTTTCAAAGGCACAAGCTCAACCTCTTGGCTGACTAATTTTCCCACTATCTCCCTTTCCTTTTTTCCTGGCTCCTAAAGTGATCATTTAAATATCTTTCCAATGTGTTGAGCCTCTCAAGAAGCAGTTTCTACACATGTTGACACCTATTGGGTGTAACTGGTGAAAGGGCTTCAGTTTTACTAAAGGGCTTCTACTAGCTTCTGTGAACTCCTTGCTATAAAGTGCCACAAGCATTATTAGCAATGACAAATTGGGGGTTTTTGTGAGATTTCTCTTAATAAAAAGAATACCCATTTAGATACTTAAAGCAGTTTGAACATTTCTTAGTTTCCTTTGTACATTTGTAAATTTTATGTATAGTCTACCAGGAAAAATGTATATACACATATTTCCACGTGGTCCTTTAACTTTTAGGAGCCCATCACTCCATTAATCATTGACATGACCTGTTTCATAATGTCTACTTGCACATACAGCAACAACACTCATTTGCAATATTATCATCAAAATAAATTTTAAAACCCTAACATTTATGCATATTACAAGTAACCATTAGATGGTGAATCAGTCAACCTCGAAAATCTAAATATTTCAATTTTTTTAAAAGGCAAATTGACTTCTGATTTGAGATGAATTTTACAAATTTGCTGTTAGAAGTCTACAACCACATTTCCTTTGTATGTGTGTGTGTATAGTTGTGGGTGTAGGTGTATGTTCGTGCGAGTAGGTATATGTGGATTTACCAACTGTTAACATTTTTTTCATATTTACTTACTCTCTCTTCATAAATATACAAATGTATATACATTTATACATATATGTATTTTCTAAACTATTTGTAATTAACATAACTAACATTTATGCATATCGTACTTGGCATTATGTGGTGAAACAGTCAACTTTAAAGTTGTAGACAGCATGACACTTCACCCCTAAATATTTCAAACTCTACTTTCTAAGCAAATGACCCACTTCTATGTAATCACAATATCATTATTATACTTAAGAAATGTAACATATTAAAATTTCTCCAATTGTCTCAAGAATGCCTTTTATAACTATTTTTCTAAAATACAGAATTCAATTAAGGATAACATATTACAATTAGTTATATTGTCTTTTTAGTTTCCTTTAATTTAGAAGAATTCCCTGATGGCTTTTGTCATTCACGACATCACATTTTTGGAGAGTTCAGACAAGTTATCTTGTAGCATGTTCCACAATCTCCTTATGATTCAGTTCAGGTTAAACCTTTTTGGCAAGAATACTCCATAAATGATGTGGGAACCATAAGTACAGCTTGTGCTGTTTTTGGAGCATTCAGAATGAAGATACCATCAACTTCTGCGCCCTTTATGCACAGTTAAGACATCAATCACACATAAGGTATCTCTCTGTCTCTCTTTCTCTCTCTCACACAGACACACACATACAAAGTACACACATAAAAATATCAGACTTTAAAAAAAAAAAGTTATCTATTTTTAAGCCTGGCCATGGATCCCATGAGAATATTCTGGAAAGAGATACAAATTGATTATTTCACTGGCCCCAGCCTAGGATGGTTTTTATTAAAGGGAAGGGATTTGGGAAGAGGATTAAGGTGTCTTTAGGCCTGTGGATGCTGGGTGATAGAAAACCTGAAATCTGTAATGGGACAATATGAGCAAAACAGAACTTGGTCAAAGGAAAGGAAAAGGCAAGGAAGCCGGGGAGTCGCTGAGAGAAGTGATATGGACCAGGGTGGATTGATAGAAGTCTTTTCAAACTCAATGAATTCTAGAGGCAGTGTTTAGTAAATCTTTTGTTAGTTTACTAGGGTTTGCCCTTGGCAAGCTTTATCTTTTTGTTTCTAAGAAATAAAAATAGGAAGAGAAGGCTCGAAAAGCCTTTTGGACAGAAAATAGCACTGAGAAAAACAATATTTTGATGAGTTAGTGCTAAATGAATTAGAAACATGTGGACTGAATTTCCCTTGAAATACAAATGGATTGAATAATTAATGGAAAAAGCACTTGGCAAAATGTACTTGAGGTTTTTATTGAACCCGAACCAAAACATTTGAAAATATTTTGAAATATGTGAAAAGTATAATATACATCTGGATTTGCCCAACCCTACTAAGGATACAGGAAACATTATTTTTATTTAACATTTATATGATAGCTGCAGTGTGCCTCAATCCTAAGGTATTTTTTACAACAGCCCTATGGTGTAGGTTATAATTATTATTTTCATTTTTGGCAAGAAATTTCCCAGTACTTGCACAGTGGGCTTCAAGTAGAAGTTTTTATTAGTCTGTGTTTTTTAGAGGTTTTTGTTCGTAGGAACATTGGACCAGTAGACACAAACCTAGGTCCAAGTCTTGGCTTTACTTCTTATTGACAATCACATTGTATATCTTCTTGGTAGATTTTATCATTTTGTAGTTTCTCCCTTTTCTTACTAATATATTTTGATTTAAACACAATTTTTCCAGATAGTACTACTACTATACCAGCTGTCTTTGGTAACTATTTGCCCAATATATCTGTGGTAGGCAGAACAATGACTTCCTAAAGATGTCCACATTCTAATCCCCAGGACCTGTGAATATGTTATAGTATATGGCAAAGGGAAATCAAGGTAGCAGATGGAATCAAGATTTCTCCTTAAAATAGGGAGATTATTCTGGGTATGCATTCACAAGGACCCTTAAAAGTAGAAGAGGGAGGCAGAAGAACAGAGTCAGAGAAATAGATGTAATGACAGAAGTAAGTTCAGGATTGTGTGATATGATAAGGACTTAACCCACGTTGCTGTCTTTGATGATGGGGAAGGGAGATCACAAGCCAAGGAATGTGGGAGGCCCTTTAGAAGCTGGAAAAAGTGAGGAGCCTTGAGAAAGGAAAGCAGTCTTGCTGACCAGTGTCTTGATTTCAGCTCAGTGCAACCCATTTTGGACTTCTAACCTACACACTAGGAAGGTAACACTTTCGTTTTGTTTAAACCACTAAATTGGTGGTAATTTGTTACAGCAGCAAAGATAACTAATATATATATCATAACATTCTTCATTTTGAAATATTCTTTGCATATTAATTGTGTCTCTTATAAACAGCATTTAGCTAGTTTCTTAAAATTAATTTCACCACTTTCTGTCTCTTGGTAGATATGTAACCTGTTCACATTTCTGCAGTTCTTGAGCTTAAACTATTTGTGCCATAGTATTGCTTTTTAAAGTCTATTTTATTTCCTCTTTTCTACCTTTTGTTGTTTAATCACATTTTTTCTTCCTTTTCCTCTACTAGGTTTTAAAGTTATACAATTTATTTACATTATTTTGATGACAATCTTACATTAAAAAACAAAGTCTTTTGAAGTGTGTATAATACACATATAGGAAAATGTACATCAGAGTTATACAGCTATATGAATTGTCATAAAATAAATACAGACATGTAACCACCATCTTTCAAAGTCTTTTGAAGTGTGTATAATACACATACAGACTTTAAAAAAGTCTTTTGAAGTGTATATAATACACATACAGAAAAATGTACATTAGATTTATACAGCTATATGAATTATCATAAAATAAATACAGACATGTAACCACCATCCATGTCAAAAAATAGAATATTACTTATACTCCATAAAGTCCCCAGTACCCCTCCCTGTCAGTTCCTCCTTTCCAAGGTACCACTATCATGACTTCTAGTTTTAGCACCTTAAAAAAAGTGGAATCATAGATTGCTTTGAGCCTGGGAGGTGGAGGTTACAATGAGCTGAGATTGTGCCACTGCACTCCAGCCTGGGCGACAGAAACCCTGTCTCAAATTAAAAAAAAAAAAAAGTTATTTAAGTATATATTCCTTCTTCCAAGATTAACTTATGTTGTTGTGAATTGCTGTTTTGCATTCATTTCCTTTGCCATAGAGTGTCATATGTTCACCCAAAGACATGCACACAAATGTTTATAGCAATATAATACTATTCATAATAAGTCCAAAGCGGAAGCAACTTAAATGTCTATCAACAGTAAAATGGAGCTGGGTGTGGCAGCTCATACCTGTAATCTCAGCATTTTGGGAGGCCGAGGCAAGTGGATCGCTTGAGCCTAGGAGTTGGAGAGCATCCTGGGCAGCATGGTGAAACCCTGTCTGCATAAAAAAAAATACAAAAATTAGACAGATGTGGTGGCATGCCTAGCAGTCCCAGCAACTCAGGGGGCTGAGGTGGGAGGATTGCTTGAGCCTAGGAGGTTGAGGCTGCAGTGAGCCGAGCCATGACCACACCACTGCACTCCAGCCTGGGTGACAGGGCGAGATACCGTTTCAAAAAAACAAAGCAAAAACAGTAGAATGGATATGGAGATGCTTAGGATGGGGTTACATTGGATTGACTTGTAAACTGAAAATATCAAGTCAAAAAGGCATTTAACACGCTTAACCTACCAAACATCAAAGCTTAGCTTAGCCCACCTTAAGTGTGCTTGGGACACTTACATTAGCCTACAATTGGGCAAAATCATATAATACAAAGCCTATTTTATAATAAAGTGTCAAATATCTCATGTAATTTATTGAATGGTTATAAGGTACTTAAAGTATCATTTCTACTAAATGCATATCACTTTTACACCATTGTAAAGTTGAAAAATCATAAGTCAAACTATCATAAGTCAGGGACCATATATATATACACTGTGGTACACTCATGACTTCACATTTTAACATGCAGAATTAGAGTTTAAAGTTAACCAATATCTTTATCTATTCCTAAATAATATAAGGATTGAGGACAGCATACGTCTTTCATATTATTACAGCCTAAAATTTTAGTTCCACATTTGTTTAAATCCATTCCCCTTGGTCATTATCATTTTTTAACAGATACAAAGTATTTAGATTTAGTAAGTTGTTTACCAATTTCTATGCTACTTGCACACCTTGTTTTCCAACTCTTTTTTTCCTTTCAGATTAAAATTTCCTTTTGGTAAGGTATAATCTTTTATAATCCTTTTAGCAAAGAACTGGGGGTAGTAAATGCCGTCTTTTTATGTCTGAAAATGCAATTTTTGTTTGCATTCTTTAACAATGTTTTAGCTGCTTATAGAATTCTAGATGGACAGTTATTTTTCCTCAGCCCTTTAAATATTCTTATTTTTCTTTAAACCTGTATCTGTTGTTGCTGATGAGAATTCCGTTGCCATTCTAATTGCCATCCCCTTGAGAGTAACCTGTTGCTTCTCTCTGATGGCTTTTCGAATTTTTGATGCTCTGTACTTTCACTACAGCCTGTCTAAACGTGGACTTAAATTTATTTATCCTGCTACAAACTAAGTGTGCTTTTTCATTGAGGTCACATTTTTCTTTAATTCTGGAAAACCATATCCATGATATTTTCAAAAGTTCATTCTTTATTCTCTTTCATCTTTCCTTCTGGAATTCAGATGGACAAAACAAATTTCATTTCTTTCTTTTTTGTCTCTTAACTTCTCTTTTATATTTTCCATCCTGTTATTTTTTTCTTGTTGAATTTCTGTGTGATTCCCTTACATTTTTCATTTTAACTTGCTAATTCTATCTTCAGTTGTATCTAGTTGTTATTTTAGCCATATATTGAGCTTTTCATATCAATGATTATTTCTACAATTCTACTTACTAAATTTTCAAATCTACCTTTACTTTCTTTAAAAAATCATCCTGTTTCTATTTTATGTTATATTCATTTCTTTATATCTGTGACCATTTTAGACATACTTATAGTTTAATTCAGATTATTCTGTCATCTCTGGTTCTTGGCGTGCAGATTTTCCCTCTTGTAGTAAGCATCTGCTGTCACTCCAAATGTTGATTCATTTGATCATAAGATTTGTAATTAATGTACTTGCAACATCATCTTCAGCAAAAAATACTTTCTTTTCTTTTGGAGTTTTGTATGTCTGGGGTTGGAGGAACATTCCTGTATTTGGTATTCTGTAGGAGCCCTTTGAGTTCCCTGGACTCACTTTAGTTTTCAAATTAATTTTCCAATTGTGGGAACTCTAACCATATGAGTACATGAAGCTCACATCCACATACTACACGAGACTGAATTTCTAGTTCTCATACATTTTCCATTTACAACTCCAGGCAGATTCTTAACTTTCTTGCTGCTCACCTCCTCCCTCTGTCTTGTCTGGGACAGACTCTTGGGACTCTCCTTCTGTGTGGGCATTAAAACTGTAGCTCTCCAACTTCCCGGTGAGCCCCTCAGAATTAGTATCACTTACTTCTTTGATTTAATAAAACCAAGGAATTCTCTCATCCTTTTGGGTTCCTAGGTATTTTCATTGTCAAGCTTGGCTCTGTATTTAGTTATCCTTGCTATATTTGGGGAGAGAGAAATTTTTATGCATTCAACATAGGTGAGGATTTTTTAAAAATATCTCTGTCTGACTGACTGATGAGAAGTCTGACAAATCACTTAATTTTTATGGACACTACATTTCTTAAAGGTAAAAATGGGTGAAAAATACGTATTTTTTTTAATTTGTATGTTATTAGAACAAAATCATACATTCAAAAATTCTGTTTATTTTCATTGTAAAACACTATACAAATGTGCTATTAAATTAAATTGATATGCCGCATATTCAGACTCTTTGGGCAATCACTTTGAATTATGTAGCCGTGAAAGTATATGATTATTTGTTTTGAACTTACTTTAGCATTCAAATGGCTTTATCAGTGTGGGGAAAGAAGAGAATGGTCTGGTGAAGATATTTCTTCGGCTGTGTGATTGGAGAGGATCCTTTCACATCATGTTGACATGATTAGGGTTATCATGTAGTGACATGCAAACTAAAACCAGGAAAGGAATGTTTGTTAACATTATTTGGGAAAAAGTTCCACTAGTGAATGTAGGGAGAGGTAGTAAAACAACGAGCGGAGTGAAGGAGAGATGTAGCTGGGCAAATGAGTGCAGTTTGTGTGCTCAGGAGACCCTGGGGAAGAGCCCAGCTGTGGTCCATGCTAAGGAAACCATGATTCCACCCAGAACCTAAAGCAATGAAATATCAGGGATGGGTTGGCACTTCAAAGCAGCAGAGCAGCATGGAAACTTGGCCACTCCTGGTAGCAATAATAGCCCAGGCAACACTGAAGTATTCTGAAGACAGGAAGGTAGGTATGGGAAAGATGGAAGCTTGGCAGTCATACCTGTGCTTTATCCCTCCTTAAAGGTCAGGAAAAGGCTAGGTAAGGTAGAATATCCTGTAAAGCTGGCTGAAGGTAATAGCTATTTTACTATGATCCAACATCTTTAGGTATTTTGAAGCTGTTTTAGCTTGGGAAAAAACATCCATTTTAATATTGTCATTATCTCATGTTGGCATAAAACTTATTGATCAAATAACTGTCAATGTGCTAGACATTTTGTAAATTATTTCTGATCCAATTTGCAGATGAGGACTAAAGCTTCAGAATAACTTCTGATGGAAGTATTATAAATACCATTGTCTTCAGAATATACAGCTGTGAAGACACAGGTCCAGAGGGCTCAGGTGACTTATATAAGGACCCACCATTACAAGAAGAGGCAGAGCTGGAAGTTAACCTGTGGTGCTTTTTTCATCCAGTGCTGTTTCCAATGTAAGATTATGCCACTTTTGCCTTTGTTTTCTGTGTTGCCCCTTTTTTTTTTTTTTTTTTTTTTTTTTTTTTGACAGAGTCTCGCTCTGTTGCCCAGGCTGGAGTGCAGTGGCATGATCTCGGCTCACTGCAAGCTTGGCCTTCCGGGTTCATACGATTCTCCCACCTCAGCCTCCAAAGTAGTTCAGACTACAGTTGCCCGCCACTACGCCTGGCTAATTTTTTGTATTTTTAGTAGAGACGGGGTTTCACTGTGTTAGCCAGGATGGTCTCAATCTCCTTACCTCATGATCCACCCGCCTTGGCCTCCCAAAGTGCTGGGATTACAGGCATAAGCCACCGCGCCTGGCCCTCTGTGCTGCTCTTGTACAGACCAAGTCTGCGATTAAAAAACAGTTTGTTTTGACAAACAGAGAGCCAAATCATGAGTGAACTCCCATTCACAATTGCTTCAAAGAGAATAAAATACCTAGGAATCCAACTTACAAGGGATGTGAAGGACCTCTTCAAGGAGAACTACAAACCACTGCTCAATAAAATAAAAGAGGACACAAACAAACGGAAGAACATTCCATGCTCATGGATAGGAAGAATCAATATCGTGAAAATGACCATACTGCCCAAGGTAAATTTATAGATTCAATGCCATCCCCAGCAAGCTACCAATGACTTTCTTCACAGAATTGGAAAAAACTACTTTAAAGTTCATATGGAACCAAAAAAGAGCCCGCATCGCCAAGTCAATCCTAAGCCAAAAGAGCAAAGCTGGAGGCATCACACTACCTGACTTCAAACTATACTACACAGCTACAGTAACCAAAACAGCATGGTACACCAAAACAGAGATATAGATCAATGGAACAGAACAGAGCCCTCAGAAATAATACCACACACCTACAACCATCTGATCTTTGACAAACCTGAAAAAAACAAGAAATGGGGAAAGGATTCCCTATTTAACAAATGGTGCTGGGAAAACTGGCTAGCCATATGTAGAAAGCTGAAACTGGATCCCTTCCTTACACCTTATACAAAAATGAATTCAAGATGGATTAACAACTTAAATGTTAGACATAAAACCATAAAAACCCTAGAAGAAAACCTAGGCAATACCATTCAGGACATAGGCATGGGCAAGGACTTCATGTCTAAAACACCAAAAGTAATGGCAACAAAAGCCAAAATTGACACATGGGATCTAATTAAACTAAAGAGCTTCTGCACAGCAAAAGAAACTACCATCAGAGTGAACAGGCAACCTACAGAATGGGAGAAAATTTTTGCAATCTACTCATCTGACAAAGGGCTAATATCCAGAATCTACAAAGAACTCAAAAAAACTTACAAGAAAAAAACAAGCAACCCCATCAAAAAGTGGGCAAAGGATATGAACAGACACTTCTCAAAAGAAGACATTTATGCAGGCAACAGACACATGAAAAAATGCTCATCATCACTGGCCAACAGAGAAATGCAAATCAAAACCACAATGAGATACCATCTCACACCAGTTAGAATGGCGATCATTAAAAAGTCAGGAAACAACAGGTGCTGGAGAGGATGTGGAGAAATAGGAACACTTTTACACTGTTGCTGGGACTGTAAACTAGTTCAATCATTGTGGAAGACAGTGTGGCAATTCCTCAAGGATCTAGAACTAGAAATACCATTTGACCCAGCCATCCCATTACTGGGTATATACCCAAAGGATTATTAATCATGCTGCCATAAAGACACATGCACACATATGTTTATTGCAGCACCATTCACAATAGCAAAGACTTGGAACCAACCCAAATGTCCATCAATGATAGACTGGATTAAGAAAACGTGGCACATATACACCATGGAATACTATGCAGCCATAACAAAGGATGAGTTCATGTCTTTTGTAGGGACATGGATGAAGCTGGAAACCATCATTCTCAGCAAACTATTGCAAGGACAGAAAACCAAACACCGCATGTTTTCACTCATAGGTGGGAATTGAACAATGAGAACACTTGGACACAGGAAGCAGAACATCATACACCGGGGCCTGTTGTGGGGTGGGAGGAGGCGGGGAGGGATAGCATTAAGAGATATACCTAATGTAAATGACGAGTTAATGGGTGCGGCACACCAGCATGGCACATGTATACATATGTAACAAACCTGCAAGTTGTGCACCTGTACCCTAGAACTTAAAGTATAATAATAATAATAAAGTCTATTTCTATGATACATTATATCAATGTCTGCAATGTCTGTACTGCCCTTTCCAACCTGCTAGAACCATTCTTTCTGACTCATTATTTTTTTCCTGTTTCAAAACTTACCTTTTCAATAATCTCAATTAGTTACTATCTTTTATACATAATGTTTCTAAGATAATGGCACCCATTTTACTTATCCACTGTGTGTTTTGGCTAATAACAGTCAATTCACACAGTCGGTCAGCTGATATGCTTTTCACTCCCCGGTAAAGGTCATGGACACCAAAAGGCTTATGGCATTTTCATAGCCTCTTTGTACTGAAGGATTTTGGAAGCTTACTGCAGACTCTTTATTTTCTCTCTATCAAAATGCAGTACCCATGATTATAAGCTAAACTCCAGTACAGGGTTCAAATCCTGGCTATGCCCCTTACTAGCTATGTGACCTTGGACAAGTTTCTTGAACTTTCTGTACAATGGAGATAATAGTAGTATCTGTTGTACAGGTTGAATGTAATAATGAGTCACTATTTGTAAAGCTCTAGAATGGTGCTTATTATTTAAGTATTAAATGAAATAAATTAAAACTGTACCTTTTTAGACTTTACTCATTGAATCTGTTGAAGGCAGGACTGGGCTTCTCTCTAGGGTCCTCTTCAGGTTTAACATGCTTCAGTCTTTTGCTCAACATCATAACTGATCTACCTCTCCACCAGTGACCATAACAGCTTCTCTCAATAGCATGCTTGTAACCCAGTTTTCTGTGTATTCCAATGAATCTAATTTGCAACTGGGAAAACAGAGAGTTGATGTTGGCCAGAATGTATTCATTTATTTTTTTTTCGAAACAAAAGTCTGGATATTGTGTAGACATAGTCTTTGATTCAAAAAATATTCTGCCTTTCAAATACCTAGTTTTTTTTACCACTGTTGTTAATTATTAATTTTTCAAGCAATTACATGTGTTATGATCTTTGGAATTCAAGTAAAATGTAAGTAATATGGCATTGCATTAGCTAGAAATAGATTAAACCATAACTTCTCCCTTTATGTGATAACATAGATGTAGACTGTTAGAACCAAAGTGGCCCTAAGGATTATCTAGCTTAATAATCTTGTTTTACAGCTCAGGAAAGGAAGGCCCAGAGGAGTGGTTTACTTAGATCATATTGCTTGTTGGCCAAGATAGGTCTAGAACTCTAGTCTTCTGACTGATGAAATGGTGCTCTACTAGCCACACAGATGGTAACTAAAATTCATAATAATCACTTTGAGATCCACAAGATTCCAAATTACCTTTGCAATAACAATAATAAAAGTTAAAAATTTTAATACAGTGTTGATATTAAGATTATTTTCTTATATTGCAATTTCCTGAAAATTAGTGATCTATAATTGTGTAAGGCAATATATTTCAAGCATGGTTAAGAACACTTTGCTCTATAATAACTCTGTAAAACAGGGCATTTACTATAAAAATTTAATTTTTGAACATGATATCAAATGCTAATGTTAGTAGATAAGAAATGTGGTCTTAAATTTTATTAATTTGATAATATATTTAGGAGTCTTCACCATTATCATTAGGTGCATTTCTTAAGTATACTACAGAATAGCTTCAGACTTTGTATTACTTGCTTAATCCAAGGTCTCTTCTTTTAAGGGAAGCAAATAGTAGAAAAACAAAACAAAATTGTGGCCACTGTATTGTTTCTTATGTTGTTTTGTTTGCTTGTTTTTAAGAAACAATATCTTGGCTGGTTTCAAGCCCCTGGCCTCAAGAGATCCTCCCATGTCAGCCTCCTGAGTAGCTGGAACTATAGGCACATGCCACCATGCCCAGCTCTCATTTTGTTTAAAAAAAGGTGAATTCATAGGATACTAAGCCTAGAGAAAGCCCATACTTCTTTCTCCTTTCTGGCAAGTTCACAGGAAATGCAGAGGATAAAACTTCAGGAATATAATTATGTAAGGGGTAAAATGGTAGATGTGAAATGTGAAGTTATTCTGCTACTTAAAGTTACAGTTTTGATGTGGACAAGAGAAAAAAACTAGAAGGTACAGAGTTTTGCTACAGAGAAGAAAGAAACAATTAGAAAATGAGAGACTTGTAATTGCAGAATAAAAACCTTGGAGTATATCTGGAGAGAAAAATATGATCCAAATAAATGTCCAAATCATTTAGGATGGATGATGCTCTTTTTTGATGATTTATAAAGAATGTAAAATCTCTTTCTTTGGTCCACTCTACTATCCAGATCAGAATTTTGTTGATGTTGTTCAACAAGACACTCTCTCTGGTATCTTAATTATCTCTCACTTCATTGAGTGCTTGGTGGATAAGGCAAACAGAAGCACAATATCTTCATAGGAATTAAACTGCATTTTTAAAAGATTCTGAAAGTAATGCTATCTCTTTTAACCTGATTGGAATTAAAACACATTCATAGAATTACCACATTTCTCTGTCTCTTCCTTTTACTTTTCCCTCCATTGTCAAAACTTTTAAGAATTAAAACATTCACAGGCTAAGCTAGCTGTTTTCTTGAAAATTTGCAGCAAGCTGCTCCTGAAAAGATTGTTTCTTTTCTTTCTTTTTTTCCTTCCATTTCCCCGCCTACCTGCCTACCTGCTTCCTTCCTCCCTGCTTTCCTTCCTTCCTTCCTGGAAGAGAAGCAAGTTTCAATGCTCTCCTTGTACAAATTGTTCTTCCACAGTTCTGGACTTTGGAATCAGTAGAAATCCACATTTGTGTGTTTGTGTGTGTATGCGCGCGTGTGTGCTCGCGTTGCTTAATGTGATTCCTAATTCTAGAAACAGATCCATTTACAATACAGGACACCAGAAAGCATCAACCACCATAACCAGTCCTCTCTTTGCAAACCCTATCTACCAATGAATCAGACTTTCCCCCTTTCCAGTCTGAAAGAGTAAGTGGTATCTGTTTCTCCCCACTCCCAGACAGTCTGGCAGGCATCCGACTTGTCAGAAGGTCATGGTTTACAGCTGGGGAGTCTCCTGGGATGCTCATGGGAGGCCTGCCAACCACCAGATCACACTTTTCAGATGCTGCCTCTGGAGAGCCTGGGGGTAGACTGTTGATATTTGCACTCTTCAGCTATGCCAGGAGCTCTGGAGGTGTGGAGGCAGCTCAGATGTGATGCCACGCATGCACTTGCAAAGAGTCACTGGGCACTGTCACTGAAGCCAGAAGTACTCACTCCCAAGCTGCAGTTGTTGGCAAGGAGAAGACAAAGTACACATAGCTATGGCAATATATTTGCACCAACCATTTGGGTGAGAAGAAGACAAATGAAAGAGAAATGCTTCTGTCTGAATTATGAGTCTATCTGTAACCATTAGTGTAGCATTATTCTCTGTGGATTTGTTTGCACCACCGAGACTGCAACACCTCCCACCACCTGTTGGATGAAACTAATTACTTCAGCTCTTTTTCTTGGCCCACTCCTTGATCATGCAATTCCTCATCCTACCAGCGCTTTCTAGCCTCAAGGCTCATCTCTGCTTTGCCAGGCTGTGTTGTGCTATCTGGGCCGTGTGTTGCCTAAGGCATAATGTATGGTGGAAGGCAGTGGGGCTTTGTAATGAAGTGCCACGTTCTTGTCAGTGACAGTAATAACATTTGGGTCCAGGGACTTCTGTTATATCACTGTTTTTCCAGTCCTTAGCCCAATGCCTCCTACCTATGATAATGAACCCAGGAGACCTCTGAGTTTAGATCCCAGAGAAAATTCCAGAATGTCTGTGCTGGTAGCTCAAATATAGTGTGTGTGTGTGTGTGTGTGTGTGTGTAACATGTATCTTATATATATACATGTTATATATATATAACATAGATATTATATATACATGTTATATATATATAACATAGATATTATATATACATGTTATATATATAACATAGATATTATATATACATGTTATATATATAACATAGATATTATATATATAACATAGATATTATATATACATGTTATATATAACATAGATATTATATATACATGTTATATATAACAGATATTATATATACATGTTATATATAACATAGATATTATATATGTATGTTATATATAACATAGATATTATATATGTTTATATAATATATAACATATGTTTAACATATATAATATATAACATGTTTATATAATATATAACATAATTATATGTTATATATGATATAAAACATATATATTATATACGTTATATGTAATATATAACATATATTGTATACGTTATATGTAATATATAACATATATTGTATACGTTATATGTAATATATAACATATATTGTATACGTTATATGTAATATATAACATATATTGCATACGTTATATGTAATATATAACATATATTGTATACGTTATATGTAATATGTAACATATATTGTATACGTTATATGTAATATGTAATATATAATACATATAACATGTATATATAACATATATGTATATAACATATATATAACATATATAACATATATGTTATATTATATATATAACAAATATAACATATTTATAACATATATAACATATATATAAAACACATATATATATTCCAAATGTCAACTGTGTTGACATTTACCAGCTGTGTGACTTGAGCAAGTTCCCTGTGTTTTAGTTTCCTTTTCTGTAAAATGAAAATAGTCATAACATATGTGTCATAGTGTTGTTCTTTGGTCCAAGCTGGGAATGTGTTAGAAATTTATGTAAAATTATTTAGAATATTCAGAACATAGTAAGCACTTAATAAGTGTTCGCTTTTAATGTTTATTATTATTATTTTTAGTTTACTTATAATATTTCTAAATTTCTTAGAATTCTAAGTTCAAAGGATTCAACTGGGTATCCTCCATACTCAACATGATAACTGGAATATAGTAAGCTCATTTCTAGGTCAGTACGCTTAAAGGATGGTGTTTTCCTGAGACAATAACTTTTTTCACAATTTGGTCAAGAAAACATTATTATCTGTCAGTACCTATGAGCAAAGACTCCCAAAGACAAGAAGACAACTTTGCATTTCTTCACTGTACCCTGTATTTTTGGAAGTACATCACTTAGTTGCTTGGTCTCCAGAAATTTACCTCCTTCATCAGTCTGATTTTTTTTTCTACTTCTCTATCCAAAGAAGGTTTGACTTCTATCAACAGAGATTTGGGTTACATATCATCCAAGTATGAGATAAATATAAATTTTCCTTTGAAATGGAAATACCCTTGCAAGTAGTAACACAAATCAAGAAGCATTGTGTGAATGAGTTTACCAGATCTGTGATGTGCGTGTGTGCGCGTGCACGTGTGTGTGTGTGTGTGTGTAGTAGGGTGAGGACAGAAGGGAGACATAATTGGGGAGGAGGCTACAATAAGGCAAAAGGTCACAAAACAAAGAATGAAGGGCACCCAGGCAATAGCACTAGCCTCCTGATTTCAAGACATGGCAAACTTCCCCCTTCTATGTCTTTTTCAATAGTGGTTTCCTCAGAGTGGTATGACTGGATGATATTTTAAATTAGAAGCAGAATATGAATGTTTTGGAGACCTCTCTGCCTTACTAGACTTGGAAGTAACACAATGGTGGTCCTAGCATAAGCTACAGGTTCTAGGGCAGATGGAGGTTCTTTGGGTTCTATTCCTGCCATTTTTCTACTCTTGTGCAAGTCTGTATAGTAAAACACACAATGGACAAGAGCCTGAAGGACTGGAATATGAGCCCCAGGTCCAGAAAGCTGCTCTCTGTGTATATTCTTATATGCTGATTGTGGAAGTGTTTGTTTACCCCACAGTCTTGCTAATGGTGGAGAGCATCATCTAAGCTTGTTTTTATTAACTTGCAAGGGGAAATTGATACTGTTTTTGAGAGGATTTCTTAAACTCCTTATGAGAGTGAACAGTTTCTGTGTCTTAAACTCCTTGTTTCAGTGAAGTTTCTTCTTTTTGATTTGTCAGTTCATATGTTTAATCAATTTTTCTACCAGCGCAACACGATATTTTTGTGCCAAAATAAGATTTTTTTTTGGTAAAATTTTGGGTTTTCTGCATGCTAGATGTGAAGTGCCACTCTTACCAAAAGCTCTGTCTGTTGTCAGAAAAATTGTCCAACAATTGGAAACAGGCCTCTAATTACAGGGTGTTTTTCAGGGCAGTGCTAGGTGTGACTTTCTACTGATTTTCTATCTTACAACTCTTTTTTTTTTTTTTTTGAGACAGAGTATCGCTCTGTCGCCCAGGCTAGAGTGCAGTGGCACAATCTTGGCTCACTGCAACCTCTGCCTCCCGGGTTCAAGAGATTCTTTTGCCTCAGCCTCCCAAGCAGCTGTGATTACAGGTGGGCACCACCACGCCCAGCTAATTTTTGTATTTTTAGTAGAGACCGTGTTTCACCATGTTGGCCAGGCTGGTCTCAAACTCCTGACCTCATGATCCACCCACCTCGGCCTCCCAAAGTGCTGGGATTACAGGCGTGAGCCACTGAGCCCAGCTGATCTTACAACTCTTTTGCAGGAAATGTTACCATAAAAATTTTTGTTCAATAGGATGTAGATAACCTCAGTCTAGTAGAACATATAACCTAAAGGCTTATGGACCTGTTGCACATTAACCAGTTTTGTATCTAGCCCATCAATCTATTAAATTGCCTCTGCACACTCAGTTTCTCAAATGAGCCTAGCACCAGTGTTTAGCTCGTACTGGTTCCCTCATCAATTAATAAGTTAAATAAAATGTTTGACACTTGTTCATAATATGTTTGCCTGAGATTCAGGATTTTACCTTATCAAAAATCATACTTTAACATTATTGACTTTGAAGATTTCTTGCCAACTCCTAATTGCTTTTACTGAATACAGTCTGTCCCAGAATTAGGAAGGACAAAGGTTGATCCTTTCCATAGTCTCGTAACTCCTCTCACTTTAAGGTTAAAACTGCAAAATAAAAAGACAAGAAAGAAAACTTCAAGTCAAAAGAATCCAGTTCATGGTCTCTTCTGTTTTAACTGAAAGTACATGATTCCTTCCCATGAAGCCTGCCAGGACTCACAAGCCTAACGTTTGCTGTTTCCAGGTGGCTGTGGTGGAGGTTTTACAGCCCCACTTTCCGTCTCACTCAGCTTAATTTTAATGGCTGCCTCTTTCCGGGGGTCTTAGCGAACGGTTCCAGGAAGGGTTATAACCTACATTAAATAATAATCATTAAAAAAGAAAGATAGGGAAAATAAATTCCTCCTGTTTGCACATCCAAGCCAAAGGTCATTGTGAACAGGATTCTTGGCTGACTTGAGAAAGACATTACCCTCATAATTTCTCACCAGGATTTCGGTAACTTGCCTCCCAAATGCTCTAGCAGTCCCACATTCCACTTCCCGCGACCCCACACAACCAGTAGCAAATACCTTACCCATCAACAGTGAAATGATTTTACCTAGAAGTAAATATAATAGTTTCATTCCCCTAATTAAAATCCTTCAGTGGTTCCTCTCACTGCTCTGGGGATATAATTAAGCTTCTCCATATGACTAACAAGAGCCTTCAGCTCTGACCTCTCTGTAACTTTGCAGACTCACCCTTTTGTGACATCCTAACACAGCCCTTTCTTTCCAGCTGTTCTGACTTACACACGGCCCCTGTGCATGTCCCATGTACTCTGACACCTCCATGCAGTTGAGGATGCTTACCTCTATAATGTCCTCACCCTCTTCTCCAGTTCACTCTGATTTGTCTGCCAAGACTCAGTTATAGCCCCACCTTATCTTGTAAGCATGTCCTGATACCCAGTTCCAGGCTGAGTTAGGTGCATTTTTGAGCAGCTTCTGGCAGCAGCCAGTAAATAGCCCCATTGTAGCACATTATATATTGCTTTACAATCATTGCTTTTATTCTGTGTCATTCTCAGGGGATCTCAATAGGGCAGAAACTAAGTTTTGCCCCATTTTGTATCCCCAGGATTTATTCCATTGTCTTAACGCACGGAATGTTCAATAAATGTTAAAGGAATGATCTCATCTTGTGACTTACATTCTTTAGCAACAAAAAAGTTCCTTAAGATGATATGGGAAATTATAGACATCTTCAAAGTGCCCTAAATTATTGTTTAAAAAGGCTTTAAAAATGAGTAAGAATTTCACTACCTTCTTGTCTTGAATTAAAAACTTATTCTATGAGTATGTACTGAGCCCCAGCATGTAGTGCAAATGAAGTTGCAGAGTAGAGGTACCGAATATTGGACAGCCTGTGTTAAGTACTTTGGGGAAGAGAGAATATCTTGGGCTTCTTTTAAATCCCCTACAGGACCTAATACCAAGAGCTCAGTAAATACTTGTTGTTTGATTGACTGTTTGAAATATATACAGTCAGTGCTGCCAAGAAACTCACAATCTAGTTTATTAAGTGGTGACAAGTTAGTGATGCAACAGGGAAATTTGGGGATTATATCATAAAAGCATAGCATGGTAATTTGTGAAGCATGTTATTGGTGGTCATCTTGTCCATAGCCTCTGCATTAGAGAGAATGGGTCAATTCATCTGCCTCATTTATATAATAATATTCACTGCCAAAGTATTAAATCTTTTTTTTTGGTCTCTTTCCACTTGACATTCTATAGTTTCAACACTTAGTTATATAACAGTGAATCACACCTCCATATCTCTAGCCTTAATCCGTCTCTTAAGGTATGGACTACATTTCCAACTACAGAACATCTGGATTTCAGAAAGAACCTTGTACACCACAAGTCCAGATCTGAGCTCATTGTCTGATCCTTCTCCATCCTCAGTCTAGGTTACTGACCACTAGGCTGTCATTTACTAATTTGTGACCGTGGTTACATTACTTAAACTCTCTAGGCTTAGTTTTTCTGACCTGTAAAACTGTATAATATTAAGTTTCTACCTCATATAGATGTTGCGAGGATTAAATGAGTTACTGTATGTAAAACATTTAGAATTGTTCCTGGCACACTCTAACTTTCAGTGAGTATTTGCTTCTATTATTTTTCTTAACCATATTTCTTTGAAATCTGAGTTGTTCTCACTGTCATCCTCTTCTTCACCTCCATATCCAAGGTCATTAATTCTCTTACATTCTACTTTGTATTGATGCTCTCAACTTTCCTATTGTCCAGTCAAGAAAATAACCACCCCTCCAGGTGTATCTAACAGAGGAGAAGTAATTACTATTCAAGAAATTGACTTAAGTAGGTTATGGAAGAACTAAGAAACGAAAAGGGATATTAGCAAAAGCAGGAAGCCACTATCACTCCTAAGGCTGGAAGGACAATGGAACAACCCTGGCTTTCTCCATCCTCTCACTCTCCTGTTTTCCTCCAGCACCTTTTCTAGGTCAAACTTGTATGGAAGCTAGTCAGCAATGGAGACCAAAGAAGAAAGTTAGTTTATGTAAAACAGAACAGAGCAGAAGAAGGGACTCTTACATGAGCCCTATTCACTCTCTTTCCCTTTCTCTCTCTCTCTCTCTCTCTCTCTCTCTCTCTCTCTCTGTCTCTCGCTATCTCTGCCTTTGTTCCTGTTTCTCTCCTGTCTTTGTTCAGGCTGTGGCTACCTCATGCCTGGACTGTTTGTACAGCTTCCTCACCAATATTCCTGGCATCGGCTTCTTCCTACTGTAGTTCCTGCTCTATATTTCCTCCAGAGTTACCTTATTTTAAAAATCCACACATGTGACCCTGACTTAAAAACCTTGGGTTCCTCCCTATTTGCCATAGGATAAAGTCCAAATTCAATATCATGCTTACTAGAGCCTTTATTCTCAGAATCTAAGTTATTGTAGGTAAAAAATGGATGACTGTAAATGATTTCTTATAGTTTAAATATCTCCTGTTGAATCTCCCATCATTTCTATGCCACAGGCAACTAGAAATTTACACTGTATTAGGCAGGGTTCTCTAGAGAAACGGAACTAATAGGAGATATATACATATATATATGTATATATAGTATATATATAGGAGATATTATATAGGAGATATATATAATATACTATATATAAGCACTTAATAAACTATGATATATATGGTATATTTATATGATATATATATATGTATATATGGGAGTTAATATTAAGTATTAACTCACATGAGCACAAGGTCCCACAATAGGCCATCTGCAAGCAGAGGAGCAAGGAGACACAGTCTGAATCCCAAAACTGAAGATTATGGAGTCTGATGTTTGAGGGCAGGAAACATCCAGCACAGGAGAAAGATATAGGCTGGGAGGCTAGGCCAGTCCAGTCTTTTTGCATTTTTTTTTTTCTGCCTGCTTTATATTCTAGCCACTCTGGCAGCTAAATAGATGGTGTCCACTCAGATTAAGGGTGGGTCTGCCTTTCCCAGCCCACTGACTCAACTGTTAGTTTCCTTTGGTAACACGCTCACAGACACACCCAGGATCAATATCTTGCATCCTTCAATCCAATCAAATTGACAGTCAGTATTAACCACCACATACATCAAAGCTTTTCATTCTCTTTAATCTGCCTAGAAAACTCATGTTTGTTTTTCCTTGAAGGTTTTCCATGGGCCTCTAGAGTTAGTTGCCCTTTTCTTTGTATGTTTCTTCTGCATTGCTCCCTAACTTTATTCTAGCACTTTTCCTGCTGCATCAAACTGTCTACTTTCTACCTGTTTATTCTGTTTTCTTCATGCAGATTCCTCCTGAGAACATTGAACAGAAGTTTGTGGGATCTCTTTAAATGTTAAATAAATGACTAATACTGTACATAGTAACTGTGCCAAGATTTGCCTGACTGAATAATTTTGTGTGGGCTCCAGTTGGAGTTCTGTGGACATTGCTTTGTGAGCAATAGCATCCTTTCTCTTTTGTCAGACCATGCAAACTGGTGGACTGATTTATTTCACCAGATTTCCTAGTCAACCTGGTCTGTGAATTCTGAGTGGAGATTCAATTTAAAAAATGAACTTGTTTCCACCATTTAAGACTGGAGTTTTCCCTTCTGCATCTTTTCCATTTTTTTCTGACTCATAAATTTTCAAGACACACCTGGCCATGGACTCACAGTCACCACACACTAGGGTGTCCTACACCCATGGATGATGAATCTAAAATATTTTTGGTATGATGTTTTCCAAAGAGCAGAAAATTCCATTGATATGGTTAATATGGTCTAAAATCAGTTCCACCTTTTTGACTTGTATTGTTTTGCCAGAATTGTCTGAAGTAAGAATGCTCATGCTGCTAGGGCACTTGACAGCTGACTTTTCTTTTGCAAAAGAGAAACTGGCATCTGTCGCAAAGGAATAGGGATTATGTTTCAATAATTTTGTGCTAGCTTGCTGTGCCTAGTTTAGATACAACCCCCAAAACTTGCAGCATGGCTTTTTGCAATCTTTTCATTTATTTTAAATTGTGAATTATCTCAGCAGACCCATGTAGCTTCTTGTGCCTTTGAAGTTTTGGAGATGTCATTTGAAAGTGAGTTAAAACTGGATTGATGTACCAAGAATAACTTATCCAGGTCATTTAATAAATGAATGCATGAAAGTTTCCAGTGCAAAAGTGAGAAATCCTACCTTTGGAACCAATTCTAAAAGAACCACCCTACTCCTCTGCCTGATCCATGGCTATAGTCTTGAGTTCTATGGGGTAAGTACTATGATGGGGGCACATCAAGCATGAAAGCAAGAGCTGTTTGACTCAGTAAGCTGGAGTTAGGGAAGGGAGAGAGGGAAGTGCATGTCAAATGAGACAGCAATTAAGATCTAAGATAAGAAAACACCCATCATACAAAGAGTTTGGAGAATGGCACAATCTTTCCACTGGGACAGTAGGGTTGATGAGATGATTTTACCAGGGATATGACCAGTCTGGATGCTTCCCCTGTTCCCCCTTGTCCCACCTGGCATTATCACAGGCAGAAAATAGAAATGAACATTGGAAGCAGTGACCTTATTTTAAAAAATGCACACTTAGCTTATGAAAATCTTGAAGAAAACAATTAGCACTAGTTACTCAGGTATATATTTTCCTATTGCAATATGGTGATTTGTATACATGCCTATATCTTCAATAATTCTAAGATTATTTAAAATTTAAGTGTTTCTCAGGGGCAAGAACTAAATGTTATTCATTTTTATACACCGAAAGTCTTGCACAGTGTCTGACATGTAACAGTAGTAAAAAATATGCTTGTGGAATAAATTACTGGACACGTGGGGAATGTATGAAAATAATACACATGGATTGAATTTTAAAAAATAAATTATTCCTTGTCCTGGTTTCTGATATGATTAATGAATAAATAAGATGTTTCTTGGATTCTTTCTCGAGGACTGACCATGACCCAAGTTGTGTTCTTGCAAGACAAATATAGGTGTTAAATGTCTGAATTGTGTAAATGTAAATATTTAACTAGAGTTGGGGTTATCAAGAACTCAATATTTCAAAGTGCAGCGTTCAAGAGAAACTGGTTTGACAGCCAAGAATGGATCTAGAAGTTCAAAGTTGGAATGCATGAGACAGAGTTCACCACATACAGAAGAACAGGGTTAGTTCAGAAGCTAAGAAGGTCAGTGATATAGTTTGGCTGTGTCTCCACCCAAATCTCATTTTGAATTGTAGCTCCCATAATCCCCACGTGCTGTAGGAGGGAGACGGTGGGAAGTAATTAAATCATGGGGTTGAGTTTTTCCCATGTTGTTCTTGTGATAGTGAATAAGTCTCACGAGATCTGATGGTTTTATAAAGGGGAGTTCCCCTGCACACTCTCTCTTTCCTGCAACCATGTAAGACGTGCCTTTGTTCCTCCTCTGCCTTCCACTATGATTGTGAGGTCTCCCCAGCCATGTGGAACTATGAGACCACTAAATCTCTTTTTCTTTATAAATTACCCAGTCTCAGGTATGTCTTTATTAGCAGCATGAGAATGGACTAATACAGTAAGATACTCATTGAAGCCAACCATTGACACACAGCCTGGATACAGGTACTCTAAGGGGCCAAAGAGGATCAGACAGAAATGTAAAAACCTAGCCATTAACCCATGATAAATTAGGCCTTCATCTACACAAGTGCTTCTTAACTGTGTTAATATCAAGGCACATATAAAAAGTGATAATTTAAGGTACCCTAGATTAAACTGCAGGCCTGAAGGGATCAATATATGAGCACACTTGTAACCCTGAACCAGCAATGGCTAGAGGTTCTGGTCTACTCAGTTACTCCATGCAGTTTGATGTCTTTAGACTCTTGGGTAGCCAATAAACAGTTGCACACATATTAGGCAAGCTAAGCTGCTAGGTTTAGAGAAAATAATTTGTTTGAATTAGTATGTCACTCCAATACTAGTTGTGGTAGAACATAAAAAGTCCAGTTAATTATGACCGAACAAATACTAACTGCTACTAAATGCAATCATCCATTTAAGACATGTAGTATGAATTGGTTGATAGTGGAATAAACCTATATATGTTGGGGTTTTTATCCACAGTTTTCTATTATTTTCTAACCTTACCACAATCATCAGTGAGTACTTATTAATTTTTTATGGTATGCAAAGTTTTACTTTTGGTATTAATCCTGAGAAAACACAGAGAAAGTCATAGTCCTGCTATATAGTCAAGCAGAAAAAAAGCATTTGTTATTTTTAGCTAGAAATATTATATTATAATACTTAAGGCCATTCTATAAGTCTAAACATTTGATATAAAATATTTGGTTATCGTTTTCCAATATAAATAAATTCTAACATTTATTGAGTCTTTTAAAGTTGTGTCAATCAAAATACCAAGAGTATTGTTAAGAGTATTTCTATGAGTTAAGTACTATTTTTAGCCCTATGTACAACTAAGGCTAATAAAACTTTTCAAAATTGTATAGCTAGGAAGTGACAGAGCCTTCACCCCAATTCAGATTTCTCTAGTTCCAAATCCCATGATTTTACTAGGTTACACTGAGTTCTCTCTTTCAATAAAATAAGATATTTAGACTGCCTAATTCATTTAACATCCAACAAACATGTATTAAACATGTGCAAGATACAATGCTAGCTGATTTGGGTACAAAGATGAAAAGAATATGGATGCTGCCAGGGATTGATCCAAGTTTTGTGAGGTTTTAAGCTTATGTAATTTGGAGAGCTTCTTAAAGAAGAAATAATATACAATATAAATGGTAATTATTTTGATAGAGCTCCATAAAATATGTGATAGCAAGTTAAAAGGACGCCTTGCAGGAACCCAGAAGGCTTCACACAGGGCTGATCATGAAGACTGAATGGAGCCTGACTAGATGTAGAAAGATCCATTCTGGCAGAGGAAACTACATTCTAAGCTTCAGAGGTGTGGCAGGGGCAGAGGGTATTGCCAGAGGACCACAAGTAATTCACTATGTCTGACACTGAAAATGTGTGTCTGAAGTAGGTGGTGGAATAATATAAAACCAGGAAAAATAAAGAGTCAGCCAGAGGCCAGACAGTGGGAAAATGGTGCTATATGTAGGAGTTTTGATGTAATTTTTAAGGTATTGGGTATTTAGATATAGTCTCTTAGACATTGAGATGTGACTGAAAATTTTTGATCAAGGCATCAGATATTTATTTTGGAATATTCTCGTCAGGGATGGAGTAGAGGGGCATAGGACTAGAGCAAGATTGATAAGCAAGAGAGAAATGATGAGAACCTGAACTCAAGGGTGAAACAAAGGGAATGGAAAAGATGAAGAGTTAAGGGAAGAAAAGCATCACATTTGGATTGATTAGACATGGCAGGTAAGGGAGAGGGAGAGATCTAACGTGATTCCAAGGTTTCTGGCTTGGGTGGCTACCTGGATTCCAGAGCCATAGGAGAGAAAGGGGGTTTTCAGAAAAAAAGATACAATCTACCAAGTGTGAGGTCCTAGAGGACAGCCAGCCAGCAAAGTCTTGTCACAGCTGAAGATGTGATTTCAGAGATCTGGAGGAAGAATCTGGCCTAGAGATTCAGATGTGGAAAACAGCCAGCAGCCTTTCATAGTTGAAACAGTGTGGATGCCCTTGCCAGGGACTGTCTGTGGAGTGGAGTAAGAATGGGAGGTGGTAGAGGACAGAGCTTTGAGAGAACCATGTAATAAACATGGGAAGATAGGGGAGTTGGCAGGATAGCCTGGGAAGAAAGCACTTTCCAAATCTAAAATATTCAATTTTTGAAATATTCTCTGAGTTTTTGTTTATGTCTTTGAGCAATCACAAGCAAAATTTCAAATTTTTTCCTTGAGAACTTCTACCCTTATTCTAACAAGGGTTCCCTCTTTGCACCAAACATATTTGGACCTATGTCCTTTCTTTTCAATACTTACTCAGTGGTTCTTAACCCTGGTTGCCTACTAGAATCATGGGGAGAACTTAAACAAACAAAAAATAATGAAAACAATGCCTTAGATCAAAATGCTGATTACTTGACTCTGGTTGGGCCCCAGCACAGTATTAGTTCTTCAAACCTTGTCAGGGGATTTTAATATGTAGCTAGGGTTGAGAAGAACTATCTTAAGTCATCATACAGAACCCCATGATGTTGAGTGACAACTGTAACTGAGGACTCCTAACTTCATACTCTAGCCTTGACCTCCTCCCTGAGCTCAAACAAATATATATTTGCTACTTGATATTTTTACTTCTAATAGGTATTTCAAACATGATGTCTTCAAAATAGCATTCATGTTTTTTTATCTCAAACCCGTTTCTCTCCCAATGCTCTCATCTCAATAAATGGCATCAACATTTATGCACCCGGTGTCCAAAACTAGAAGTCATACTTAATACCACTTCACCCCTCACAATCCATTTCTCATCCAAAAGCAAATCTGACTGCTTTACTTTCCTGAATCCATCTACTTGTCACCATTTCAAACACTTGCCCAATTCCAAGTCATCACTTCTTGCCTGTGACTGTAACTGCTCTTAAATGATCTTGCTTTTATTCTTATTTTCTTAAAGTCAAATATCCACACAAGCTACTAAAATGCTAGTGCTAGTTATGACTCAGTGGAACCCTGGGGTTCTATGGGACACAGTATAGAATCCTCTGGCTAGAAATAATAGGAGCAAGGTGCCAGTAGAAGGTCTTGTCTTTGTGCACCAAGAAACTAGGGCCTTCCCTCTTCACTTGGCAATGCCAGCCATTGACCTGGACTTGACAATTCTTGTAGGCTTCTTCACCTCATGGTGCCTTTAAAGTTAGCATCGTGGGTGGATATCTGGCCTGTTCCCCCAACACTCCAGTTCCAACCTTCCAGCTTTTCCTCATATTTTGACCTATCTTTGATACTCTTGCTGCCCTGGAATTGGACTTGCATTTATTCACCTTTCTTTACACACCTTTCTTTATGTGTAAAATGGGGCTAAGGTTAATACGTATTTTATAGTTATTGGGAGGATTAAGTGAGAATTCATGTGAAGTGTCTGGTAGAGTATTCAATCATGTTTATTGTTAGTGTTATAATTATTTTATTATTATTATAGTAGTAACAGTATTAGAACTAGTTACAGTGCTTTTATTGTTGTCTAATTGAGTGTATCTTCAAACAGATCACCCATAAAGACTGATCTCATTGCTTTTGGGAAAAAAATCAGTGAATTACTTATACCTCATTAAACTTTTGGTTAAACTTTTTTTGCTTAAACTTCTGGTTCCTCAGTTGTTTCTTACCCTTCCTTTTGCCTTCTATTTAGTCTAAGAGAACTTCTAGGCTGACCTGAAAAAATTCTGCAGTAGAATGTCATTTGGTAAGGTCTCCTAATTGAAGGTGTGTCCTTGGTCAGCCTTCTCCAGTGCCTGAAATTTCCACATAAAATCTTTTTAGGGGAGAGATGGAAGGGAGGGGAACAGTTAGTGGCTTTTGAAAGATGTATTAGACAGATTGACAGACTTCTTCAGACCAACAGAACCAGCGGGCTGAATAGGGGTGGTGGAGGGGAGAGAGAGAGACAGAGAGAGAGATTTTAAGGAATTGACTCCTGTGATTTTGGAGTCTGGCAAGCCGAAAATCTGAAAGGCCAGCAGGCTGGAGATCCAGGGAAGAGTTGATCTTGCAGTAAGAGTCTAAAGGCAGTCTGCTGAAAAGATTCTTTTTCCTCAGAGGAGGTCAGTCTTTTTCTATTAAGGCATGCAACTGATCGGATGAGACCCATCCACATTATGGAGGGTAATCTGCTTTGCTCAAAGTCTACTGAGTTCAATGTAAACCTCATCTAAAAAATACTTTCACAGAAACTGAAACATCTAGAATAATGCCTGGCTAAATATCTGGGTACAATGGTCTAGCCAAGTTGACAAATAAAATTATCCATCACAAAAGGCAAGTGCCATTTGAAAGAGGTAAAAAAGATCCAAGTCAATATGTGCATTCTATATAAATCATAATGTTTCCACCCCACTCAGTAAATTCTCTTCAAGTACTTTCTCATATGTTACTTGTTCTTTTCCTCAAAGATGCTCTTTAAAATATCATATGAAGGCAGGTTGTAAAGAGCATCAATTGAGATATAAATAATTCATCTTTCTCAAGTGAGTAACTAAGTAGACAATTCAAAACAGAGTTTAAAATTCCACTGCAGAAATTGCTTTTTAGATATTTTGGTACTTTTGCTGCAAAAGCTTTCAGAAAGAAGTTGCTGAAAATTGTGGGGGGTGTTTTGGATGTCCACTAACTTGCAAGAGCCAAGAAACCTAGAACCATTTCTATCCTATTCACCATTAATTCTAGCACAGCATCAGTACTTTGTGGACATTCAATAAATATTTATGGAAGGAATAAGTGGGACTATTTGTTCCCAATTAAAATTGGTCTTAATTTTTTTATTCTGTACGTGGTGTCTCTCTAGGACCACAAGGTGTAATGACTCCTGTGATGTCACCTGGCTCTTTTTGTATCAGTTACAGGGTGGTGAGGGGAGGGGTGTAGTGAGTGACTGAAAGCGTAGCGGCTGGACTGTCTGGGGTCACATGCTGGTGCGGCACTTATTCTTTGTGTGATCCTGGACAGGTTACTTAACTTCTTTGCACTTCAGTTTCTTTATGTGTAAAATGGGGTTAGAGATAATGTGTATTTTATATTGGGAGGACTAAATGAGAATTCATGTGAAGTGCCTGGTAAAAGTATTCAATAATGTTTATTATTGTTGTTGTAATTATTATATTATTATTATAGTAGTAGCAGGATTAGAGCTAGTTACGGTGCTTTTATTGTTGTCTAATTGAGTGTACCTTCAAACAGATCACCCATAAAGACTGATCTCATTGCTTTTGGGAAAAATCATTCGTTCAGTGGATTACTTATATTTCACTTAAACAGAGTCTTCAAAGATGACATCGTGTGGGGTACCACCTTTCTGGCTTTGACCCATACCCTCAGTTCCAAATATCAGATGCTTCCCCAGATTTGAATGTCCCTTTTATGTCACAAAGGAAGTAAGACTAGGCCCCTGGCCATTTTTTCCACACCTTCATTGTAACCTCAGTGATGTTTCTGTTCCTTCTAAGGTGACATTAGCTAAGCTTAGCAGGTGTGAGGTGAGACGCCCTTAGTTTCTATAGTGTTTTATTGTTATTCCTTCATGTTATTTAGAGTTTAAAGTTAGTCTTAGGAGGACATTGCTTGGTGCCTAGGGGCCAGTGGAGCTTAGAGTCAGGCTGTTGGTGGTCACAAGGACCCATGATTTCTGGGGAGAGGAAGGGTGTGAACCAGGTGTCCTGGCCAGCCTCCAAGTTTGGCTCAGTGAATTTTACCTCCTGAAAATCCCCCCTGTCCTTTCAATTGGATATGGTATTCCTCTCGGTTTCCTGTCCCAAACTGAGATCCATGGGATTGTGGTGTGGCTGCAGAACAGCTGCAGCATTCCACCACCGAGGTGCTGCGCATGGATTCCAGGGGTGGATGAAGCAAGAGGCTTATGCACAGCTTGGATAAAGTATCAGCTTGCAAAATATTTGGGGACCCTCTGGGATGAAGGACTCTGGGCAGAGCAGTGATGCTGTAGTGGTGACGTGTACTGATTCATTGCTATCTCCTGGAATGTCATGGGCTTTAGCTGTGTGGACTAGAGCCCATGTGGTTACTTGTTCTGCTGGCATGAGAGTCTGTGTGAGAGGAATGGCCACATGGTGTTCACAGCAGGATGCTGTGATTGACAGGAGTGGGAAGCCCTAGGGGTAAATTTCAGCTGCTAGTTCTGGCCAGATGGGAGAGGCCTCCCATGTGTGTTGGGATGAGGATAGAGGCTTCTAAGATAGCTAGCCCATTGAAGTACATTGCATTTCAGAATTTATATTTTTTGGTGGACTGCTAATAGCCCATATCCAGAAGGAATGTGATAAACACAGCAATGACAACAATGAAATCTTATACACCAACAATGAAATCAAAACACTTGCCTGGTGTGAGTTTCCCTTGACTACATATAGGGAAGGATAAAAAGAAAAGCAAAATATTTGAAATATCTAATTTTATTACAATAGCCAGGACTCTACATATCAAAAAAATACCTGAAAATATCAGCTTCAAGTCATGGGAATAATAAAAAGTGTATATTCTCTGCCTTCTGGGAAATCTCAGACCTTGAAATTCTGCAGGGAATCTCCCCTCCTCCACTGTTTCACACATTTCTGAATCTAGCCTAGGATTTCCAGATTAAGTAAGGTCCCAGCAGTTGTGGAAGAAATGATCCGGTGATTACTTGTCATCCATAGGACCATAGAGACTGAGTTTAGGAAACTGGACCTAATTTGTTCCAATGAAAGCAGGCATTGACTTGAACTTGAACCAGAAATATATGAAAAGTCCAGGAACTATGTATATATTTTCTCTCTTCTTTCAGCATTCTTTTTCCCCCATAGCCCTCCCAGCTTCCTTTGTTTTCTGAACAAGCTCTAAATTTTTTTTTTCTATGCACTTTCTTTCACCCCAATCTCATTATCGAAGAAGCTAAAAACAGTGATTCAGGAAGACAGCGAACTATAAAAGGCTTTACTTATTGTCCCTAAATCAATCTTACAGAAATTATAGAAGGCAAAAGGAAGATGGATATTAGAAACTAACTTAAAAATTGTTAGACACCCTTGGCGAGATTGCTCTGGGGGCTGAAGCCTTGGGAAAAGGGTTCAAAACAGAGCACTGAGGAAATAGATCCATTCTATTCTTGCCTCTCTCCAGTATTGCTTTGAGAGGATGCCTGCCTCATCCCCTCTGGATCAGTCAATCCTGAGTTAACAAGGAAGTTCAGGTCTGTGCCAAAAGCCTTATTGGTGAGAGAGGCTGCTGAGAGTAGATAGTCACCCTTTAACCTCTTTCTCTCCAAACCTCCAAAATTTATGGTTAATATCCCAGGAAGCTACTATCCAGCACTTCTTCTTGTGTCCTCTTCCATAAGCCCAACCACATCAGTCATATGACTCTTTCCCTGAAATTCTTTTTCTCATATTTTTCAGTCTTGCTCCTTCCAGACTCTGAACCAACCACTGAAGCCCCTTGTCACAGCTCAGGAATTCATAAATAGCTGTACTTCAGGCAACTTCTTGTTCCATGCAAATTGAACCACGTGTAGAGCTTGTAGTTTTGCTCACTGGGGAATTTCCCTTCACCACTGTTTTTGAGAGACTCCCCTGAGTGCAGCTATAGTGTGGCAGCAGTCTGTTTCTGGTATTATGCCAACTGCTTTGTGAGCCAGGCCTGAGATTCACCTCCCCCGCTTTTTTTTTTACTGATTGTAGAGGCCTGCCTCACCACTACCATGAGACCACAGTTGAGGGAGAAGAGTTTATAAAGTCTTGGAAGTCTTAAACTATTTGTTCATGCAATTTACTTGTACTTTCTCAACCTCTCAAGCTCAATACTAGATGTACTATTTTCATTGTACAATGACTTGCTGCTGCTCTCTCTTGATCATATAACTTGGTGGATCTAAAGAGAGCTAGGTCATGGTCAAATGTTCTGGTCACACAGTCATCTGCTATTTAATGATCAGGCTCTCAGCGTCTAGTAGAGCATGTAGCTATCAATCAAGTGCCAGATAATTATCTGTTGCACAATAATATGTGGATTTGTTTTAGAATTCTAAAATCCTGTCCTGAATATCCCCTAGTAATTGCTGGAGGCTCCACATAGCATCTGTGTCTAGTACCTTAACCACTTTCAATACCTCTAGTATTATTGGCCTTGCTGGGTCACATGGCCAAAGCTGTAGGGAACCCACTATGGATCCCTTTCTTGTTCTGGACCCTAATCGAAACTAACATGCTTCTGAGTCACTTGCTAAATGGGCTAAAACATTATTCCCAATTATGATATGTGCTACCTTCAAAGTTGAAAGAGGACCACCAAACCCTGTGCCTCTTTTTTAGTAGTGGAAGGTGCAAGGTGTAGTAATTTGTACTTTACCTTAGAGAGGATGTCTCAGCATGCACCAGACCATTGCATCCCTACAAACTTCACCAGTGAGGAAAGCTTAATTTTCCTGAGGTTATCTCTCACAAGGTTACCTCTGGCCTACATCTAGGGCACCTTTTACTTCTCACTACGTCCAATATTCAGCCTCACAGTGATCAGGGAAATGCACAGAAAATAAAAGTTTTCCCATCTATAATGTTGTCAAAGTTTACAAAATGATTTAATGATTTACATTTTTTTGAATTTTCTAGGATTTGGGAAATGGTCACTCCTGATCACTGATAGTAAGAATATAAATTGGTACAATTCTGAAGGCAGTATCTGTATTTTATGTATGTAATGTATATACACATATGCATGTATAAATACAATATATTTAGCAACATATAGTACATATATGTGTTTACATATATCATAAATATAAAATCTATATAATTTATAGTCTAGTAATTTCATTTCTGTCCTTATCCTAAAGAAACATAAGGGAGAAATGCATACAGAAAAATCTCCATGAAGCAAGATACCAGAGTGATGAAATAATCTGTATAACAAACCCCCACGACATGAGTTTACCTATGTAACACACCTGTACATGTACTGTCAAGCCTAAAATAAAAGTTAAACATTTAGTATTAATCATTTTTCACAAAACAATTGAAATCCTTTTGTTGTCTTTTACATAATCCTCAGCAGGTGTTTTTGATGCTATTGATGATCGTGCTTTTCTCATAACAAAATATATTGAGTGGGATCCAACGTTTAGTACAATCCAACGTACTGTCCTTTCTTTCTCTCCCACACATGTAGCTATTTGATATCAGACCAAAACAATGACACCAGGAAACCATAAGTCCTGCTAACTCACTCCTTCCACTTTGTCGTTGTTAGAGCCAAAAATTCTCTGAGTTCACTGCTGAGCCAAAGAGGGTGAGCAGACCACCATGTGTTCTTGTTTGAAAGTACACTTAAGACTTCAACAAGAACCCAACCCAGAAGTTCTGCCTCTTTTTCTTATCTATTCTAGATTCACATCTGCAAAATAGGTAGCTATATTAAGAACAAGCTAGATTGTGCTGCAGTAAAAACTCCAAAATCCCAATGACTTAAAACAACAAAGGTTTACTTCTCTTTCTCATGACACATCTGTTATGCATCAGCTGGGGCTTTTTGCAGCATTCTCATGCCAGGATGAGAATGATGGAGCAACCTCTACCTGGAGGATTTCTTCTCACCCACAAGAGAAGATAAGGGAGAGGTGGCATATTGCACCCCAGCTCTTAAGATTCCTGCCCCAAATTAACATTATTCTACTCACATTTTACTAGTCAATTTTTCTAAGTGCTTGAAGGGGGAACAAAAATATTTGGTTTCTGGCAATAATAACTATGACAGTAGCATAGAGTTTTACACACCCAAACTAACTTTAATTCAATGACCTTACTGCTTACTACATTACAATAACTATGCACTCATTGAAGTAATTTTCTGAATGTTTACTCTGAGGTTCATGGCTATGCTCTCTGCTAAAAATATGAGGCTTGATAGCTGCACAGGCCTTAATAATACTTGTTTTGTCACATAGAGCAAAAATCTTCATACATCTTTTCAAAGTAGTTGAGAACAGTAGAAGGTTATAAGCATAGAGTTGTAAAATCAGTGTAAAAGCCTCTGCTTTATGTTTAAAGTGAAACTGCTAAGTGAGTGGATCAAGGTATAAGGCAAAGGGGTCTGAGTTGGAATAGCGCATATTGAATATAGACAGCAAGAAAATGCTGAGTGCCAAAATGTCCATTTCAAGAAGATTGTGTTGAATGGGGCAAAAGCTGTGCCGTATTTGATGATTCCCCACACACAGTCACTTGAACTAAAAACCAGTCTGTTCATCCTTTGTGTATCTGGAGAATAAAATTGAGAAGCTGTGGAGACATGTCCTAATTGAAGTCTTCAGGAACAAAAGCTGAAACATGGTTGAATGTTTTTCACAGGCTCTACATGAGGTTTATAGCACAGACCTGTCATAGTCACTGGCTCAGGCTGGAAGGCTCACTCAAGATGTAAGGTGGCCACGTTTTCAACCTGAGAATATTCTGTTGTCCAAATGGAACCTTCTGCTGGGACAATGAACAAATCCCTATGTGTGGCTTGGAGAATTCTTTTTCAAAAGGTTAGTACCAATTTTCTGTTAGAAGTGGAGTGGGCAGCACTGTGTGTGGTAAGAAGTTTATGGTTTTGTCAAGGCATTTAATGAGATAAGTTGAGTCAATTTATGGTTTATTTGGGTACTTGATTATGTGGCCCGTGCTACCTGGTATTTATGTAACCTGTGAGAGATCCTGGTGTAATCTGTGTGGCACAGAAGTGGGAGTTAAACCTCAATTTTTGGCCTCTATTAACTCAGTCTGTAATGCTGTTCCCCTTGTCACCATCAGAAGCCCTGCATCTCAACTCACAAATATTTTCTTAGCTTCAGACTTGGTGAGTATGAACAACTGTCATTTCTTAAAGACAGAATGTTCTTCTCTCTCAAACCAAGTGAGAATGAACTGCTGATGACTGCCCTGGGTGTTTTAATCAGGACGGTAAGCTCTGAAATTACTCTCTGGGTCATTGTCACCCACTCTCTCTTTTGCCAAGTTAATTTTTCTTCATTAAAACAAGAACTGTCCGGAAAAAAATTTAAATTTTTCCTAAATGAAAACCAGTAAAAAAGCTGAAGCCAAAAATTGTTGGCAATCTTCGTGCTGAATTATGCAGTCTGCACATTGCAGGCAGCCTGTGGGTCCTGAGGCTGTCACAAATAACAGGGGAATGTGGCTCTTTCTCCCAACAGGAAGAGCCTCTGCCCAGTGGTCTGGGCCCTGGGCCATGGCTGAACTTTACTGCTGCTTCCAAGGAAAACTTTCTGTTTTACCCACACATGAAATGGTTATGATGTTGAGAATAACAATTTACTAACTTACTTTTTCTAAGTGTGAAGCAGCCTGTCTCTTCTTAGGTGCATAAACTCTATCTTTATTCCTCAGCATTCACAATGGCAAATGCTGTTCTGTGTGCCACTGCTCCCTCTTGGTGCTCCTCCTCTGCCTCCAGCACTCCTGTGTACGGAGTGTTTATATGCTGCTGTGGCTTCCCAAGCTCCTTCTCAGGCTCAGGCCTCTGGGCAGAGCCTTCTTGTAGTGTTCACACTGTATTTCCTTCCATCCTTTCTTGCATTTCTGTGCACTCAGGTCCTGGTCCAAGAGCTGTGTAATCTTCTTGTGATGAGTTAGATCTTTATTATGCATTAGGCATTAATTACAGCTTATAGCTTAAAGTGAGTAATGGTTTAGTCAATAATTACAGCTTATAGCTTAAAGTGAGTCATGGTTTAGTCAAATGACAAATGTGCATTATAACAATGTTCTTCAATACCTTCAATCCCATTAAAAAATTTGGTCGTGACCTATTCGTCGCATTATTTTCCATAATTCTTCATTCTCAGAGCTAAGAACTCATTTTTGCAGCCTCAGCCTGGCTTCATTCTCTGAGACCAACCTTGTCAAGGGCAGGTAGTGAGTAAGTAAGATCAAGAAATTCAGCTCTAACTAAACCTTGTGCTTTCTGCTCTGGGCTTACAGTCTACTGCTAGCAACTGGATTCCTGCTTTGCTCTGAGACTCAATACTCCCAAATGCTCCTGATTCAGGGGCAGTCAGGTAATAGTAGAGTAACTCCAAAGGAGTGACTAACAGTGGGAATTCTGGGGCAAAGGGTGTGGGGACATTTTAGGCTTTGGGTGAGAGGGCAGAGCAGGTTCCAGGACTCTTCAATCAAACCACAAAAAAGGCTGCTTTCTCTCACCTGTCTTTTAGGTTGATGCTGCCCACAGTGAGCCTGGCTAAACAGAACTCTGCTGTTCTCAGGAACATTTTTTCCTGTCATGAGCATCCCCCTTCAGCAGGAACGCTTTGCTTTGTTTAGTTGTTTCATTATCATATCATGCACTGTCTCAGAGTAGACATAAGGGTCATACTACAGATTGTTCCCCACAGTATGTGAAAAAAATTAGGATTTTACATAGTTAAATAAATGAATTAGACATTTCCTGAACCAATAAAGTCTAGGTGGCCATCATAGTATTTTGTTTTCCATGTGCCTGATACAAACCATTCCCTTTGGTTTGTGTAATGCCAGGCTCAAGGACTTTTTGCCTATAATGGTACAGGACAGCCTTGATTACACCTGAAGGATTCTTTTCTTTCTTTTTCTTTAAAATGAAATTTCATATGAGGACCAAAATCAACATGTTACAGTGTAAAAAATTCAAAATTTGTTAGATGCAAAATTTCAGGTTGCAAAATTTTGCATACAGAATGACTTCAGCAATGTAAAATATACACATAGGTTGAAAACTCCTAAATATGGTTATCATGGGATAGTAAGCCTATAGGTGATTTAGATCTTCTTCATATTAATCTCTATTTCCAAACATTCTAGAACAGGTTTACGACAAGAAAGAAAATAAATGTTGCCTAAAAATAAAAAGCACTGATTCTGGATTTATGAGAACTTTATTCTATAGTAAAAGTGTGGAATAAATATAAAGCATGCCGATTCCAATCAGGCTATTGTGAGAGTCAAGTGAGACAATGGGTGCAAAAGCACTGTAAAAAATGTGAATTATAGAGGACCACTCAAATATTCCCACAGCATTGGGTAACAAAGTCAGAGGTGACTCCACCACTTACCCAACTGCCCCTGGATCAGGGACATGTAAGAGTATTGAGTCTCAGAGCAAAGTAGTAATCTAGTTGCTAGAAGTAGACTGTCAGTCCAGAGCAGAAAGCACACGAGGTTTACTTAAGGCTGAGTTTCTTGATTTCACTTACTTTGTCCCACTTACAAGGTTGGTTCCCGAGCATGAAGCCTGGCTGAGACAGCTAAAATGAGTTCTCAGCTATAAGAATGCAGAATTATGGAAAAAATGCGACCAATAGGTTACTACCAAATTTTTTTAATGGGATGTGGGGACATATTTCATAAACACTTTTTAGTTTAACAGGATTCCTGCAGGCAATTTTAATGGTTATGTTTCAGGACAAGGACCTGCCTTTAGTCTGTGTGATAATGAGCCATGCTGTGACAAATGTACCTTGGCAGTGCTCTTACACAGTGAAATCCCAGTGGCAAGTACAAGCAGGAGCAGCAGGTGTACAAATGATCCAGGGATCAACCAAAGCAAGGGATCCATCTGGCAGTTTTTTATCATCCAGAAAATAGGGCTGATTAGAGGAGGTGTGGAGTGTGAGGGTCAGGGAAAGTAAAACAAACTGTAGGGCTATGATTCATGAAGTGGAAATG